>NC_000014.9:16140627-16228649 GCF_000001405.40 Homo sapiens
AACATGATGAGAAACTGCTTTGTGATGCGTGCATTCATCACCAGTAGTTGAGTTTCTCTTTTGATTGAACAGTTTTGAAACACTCTTTCTGAAGAATCTGAAAGGGATATTTGGAGCGCTTTGCAGCCTATGGTGAAAAAGGAAATATCTTCACATAAAAGCTAGACAGAAGCATTCTAAGAAAGTGCTTTGTGACGTGTGCATTCATCTCACAGTGTTGAAGCTTTCTTTTGATTGAGCAGTTTTGAAACACTCTTATTGTAGAATCTGCAAGTGGATATTTGGAGAGTATGAGGCCACTGGTGGAAAAGCAAATATCTTCACATCAAAACTAGACAGAATCATTATAAGTAATCTCTTTGAGATGCGTGCATTCAACTCACAGAGTTGGACATTTCCTTTGATTGAGCAGTGTGGAAACAGTCTTTTTGCAGTATCTGCAAACGGATATTTGGAGCACTTTCAGGCCTATAGTAGGAAAGGAAATATCTTCACATAAAAACTACACAGAAAATTACTGAGAAACTTCTTAATGATGTGTGCATTCATCTCACAGAGTTGAAACTTTCTTTTGATTGAGCAGTTTGGAAACACTCTTTTAGTAGAAACTGCAAGGGGATATTTGGAGAGTTTTGTGGTCTATGGTAGAAAAGGATATATCTTCACATAAAAATAGAAGCATTCTGAGGAACTTCATGATGTGTGCATTCGTCTCAAGGAGTTGAACTTTTCTTTTGATTGAGCAGCTTTGAATAACTCTTTCTGCAGAATCTGCAAGTTGATATTTGGAGTGCTTTGTGGCCTATAGTAGAAAAGGAAATATCTTTACATAAAACTAGACAGAAGCATTCTGAGAAAATTTTTTGTGATGTGTGCATTCAACTCACAGAGTTGAACCTTTCTTTTGATCGAGGAGTTTGGAAGCAGTCTTTTTGTAATATCTACAAATGGATATTTGCATCACTTTACTTCATGGAATGGAAAAGGAAACATCTTAACATAAAAACTAGACAAAAGCATTCTGAGAAACTTCTTTGTGACGTGTGCATTCAACTCATGGAGTTCAACCTTTCTTTTGATTCAGCAGTTTGGAAACAGTCTTTTTACAGTATCTGCAAATGGCTATTTGGAGAGCATTGACGCCTATGGTGGAAAAGGAAATCTCTTCTCATAAAAACTAGACAGCAGCATTCTGAGAAACTTATTTGTGATCTGTGCATTCATCTCACAGAGTTGAACCTTTCTTTTGATTCAGCAGTTTTGAAACTGTCGTTTTGTAGAATCTGCAAAGGAATATTTGTGAGCCCATTGAGGCTTCTGGGGTGATAGGAAATATCTTCACATTAAAACTAGACAGATACTTTCGGAGAAACTATTTTGTCATGTGTGACTTCTACTCACAGGGTTGAAACTTTCTCTTGATTGAGCAGTTTGGAAACAGTCTTTTTGTAGAATCTGCAAATTGATATTTGGAGTGCTTTTGGCCTACGTTGAAAAACGAAATATCTTCCCATAAAAAGTAGGCAGAAGTTTTGGAGAAACTTATTTTGATGTGTGCATTCATCTCACACAGTTGAAATTTTCTTTTGATTGAGCAGTGTGGATACACTCGTTTTGTAGAGTCTGCAAGTGGATATTTGGAGCACTTTGTGGCCTATAGTGAAAAAGGAAATATCTTCACATAAAAACTAGATAGAAGAATTCTGAGAAACTTCCTTTGAATGGGCGCATTCATCTCACACTGTTGAACTTTTTTTTTTGATTGATCACCGTCTAAACAGTCATTTTGTAGAATATGCAAAGGAATATTTGTGAGCCCATTGATGCCTCTGGGGAAACAGGAAATATCTTCACATAAAAACGAGACAGAATCTTTCTCAGAAACTTCTTTGTGATGTGTGCATTCATCTCACTGAGTTGAACTTTATTTTTATTGAGCAGTTTGGAAACAGTCTTTTTCTAGTATCTGCAAATGGATATTTTAAGCGCTCTGAGGCCTACGGTGAAAAAGGAAATATCTTCAATATAAATCAGACAGAAGCATTCATAGAAACTTCTTTGTGAGGTGTGCATTCATCTCACAGATTAGAACTTTTCTTTTGATTTAGCAGTTTTGAAACACTCTTTTTGTAGAATCTGCAATGTATGTTTGAAGCGCATGAGGAATATGGTGGAAAAGGAATCTTCTTCACATAAAAACGAGACAGAAGCATTCTGAGAAACTTCTCTGTGATGGATGCATTCATTTCCCAGAGTTAAACCTTTCCTGTGATTGAGCGGTTTGGAAACAGTAGTTTTTTACAATCTGCAGAAGGATACTTGTGAGCCGATTGAGGTCTATGGGGTGATAAGAAATATGTTCACATAAAAACTAGATAGAAAGTTTCTGAGAAACTTCTTTGTGATATTTGCTTTTATCTCATAGAGTTGAAACTTTCTTTTTATTGAGCAGTTTGGGAACAGTCTTTTTGTAGTATCTGCAAATGGATATTACCAGGGCTTTGAGGCCTATGGTGAAAAAGGAAATATCTTCACATAAAAACAAGGCAGAAGCATTCTGAGAAACTTCTTTTTGATGTCTGCATTCATCTCACAGAGTTGAACCTTTCTTTTGATTGAGCAGTTTTGAAACGCTCTATTTGTAGTGTCTGCAAGTGGATATTTGGAACGCTTTGAGGCCTATAGTGGAAAAGGAAATATCTTCACATAAAAAACCAGAAAGAAAGAATTCTGAGAAACTTCCTAGGAAGGTTTATTTTCGTCTCACACTGTTAAACCCGTCTTTTGATTGAGCAGCTTCGATACAGTCTTTTAGTAGAATATGAAAGGGAATATTTGAGAGCCCATTGAGGCCTCTGGGGAAATAAGAAATATCTTCACCTAAAAACAAGACAAAACTTTCTGAGCAACTTCCTTGTGATGTGTGCATTTATCACACGCAGTTGAACTTTCTTTTGATTGAGCAGTTTGGAAACAGTCATTTGTATTATCTATAAATGGATATTTGGAGTGTAATGAGGCCTATGGTGAAAAAGGAAATATCTTCACATAAAAATCAGATGGAAGCATTCTTAGAAACTCCTTTGTGTTGTGTTCATTCATCTCACAGACTTCAAACTTTCTAATGATTGAGCAGTTTTGAAACTCTCTTTTTGTAGAATCTGCCAGTGGATATTTGGAGCGCTCTGTGGCCAATAGTGGATAAGGAAATATCTTCATAAAAAAAATAAACAGAAGCACTTTAAGAAAGTTCTCTGTGTTGTATGCAGTCATATCTCAGACATGAAACTTTCTTTGGTACAGCAGTTTTAAAACACTCTTTTTGGAGATTCTGAAAGTAGATATTTGGAGAGACTTGAGGACTACGGTGGAAAAGGAAATATCTTCACAAAAAAACTAGACAGACAAAAAAGAAACATTCTGAGAAGCTTCTTTGTGATGTGTGCGTCCATCTCGAAGAGTTGAACCTTTCTTTTGATTGCGCATTTTTGAGGCACTCTTTTTGTAGAATCTTCAAGTGGATATTTGGAGGGTTTGTGGCCTGTGGTGGAAAAGCAAATATATTCACATAAAAACTAGATAGAAGCATTCTGAGAGCTTCTTTGTGATGTGCTCATTCAACTCACAGAGTTGAGCTTTTCTTTTGATTGAGCAGTTTGGAAACAGTCTTTTTGTAGAATCTGCAGGTGGATATTTGGAGCGCATTACGGCCTATAGTGGAAAAGGAAATATATTCACATAAAAACTAGACAGAAGCATTCTGAGAAACTTCTTTGTGATGTGCTCATTCAACTCACAGAGTTGAACTTTTCTTTTGTTTGAGCAGTTTGCAATCAGTCTTTTTGTAGAATCTGCAAGTGGATATTAGGAGTGCATTACGGCCTATAGTGGAAAATGAAATAACTTCACATAAAAAATAGACAGAAACGTTATGAGAAACTGCTTTGTGATGCTTGCATTCATCACCAGAGTTGAGTTTCTCTTTTGATTGAACAGTTTTGAAACACTCTTTCTGTAGAATCTGAAAGGGATATTTGGAGCGCTTTGCAGCCTATGGTGAAAAAGCAAATATCTTCACATAAAAGCTAGACAGAAGCATTCTAAGAAAGTGCTTTGTGACGTGTGCATTCATCTCACAGTGTTGAACCTTTCTTTTGATTGAGCACTTTTGAAACACTCTTATTGTAGAATCTGCAAGTGGATATTTCGAGAGTTTGAGGCCACTGGTGGAAAAGCAAATATCTTCACATCAAAACTAGACAGGATCATTATAAGTAATCTCTTTGAGATGCGTGCATTCAACTCACAGAGTTGGACGTTTCCTTTGATTGAGCAGTTTGGAAACAGTCTTTTTGCAGTATCTGCAAGCGGATATTTGGAGCACTTTCAGGCCTATAGTAGGAAAGGAAATATCTTCACCTAAAAACTAGACAGAAAATTACTGAGAAACTTCTTAATGATGTGTGCATTCATCTCACAGAGTTGAAACTTCTTTTGATTGAGCCGTTTGGAAACTCTCTTTTAGTAGAAACTGCAAGGGGATATTTGGAGCGTTTTGTGGTCTATGGTAGAAAAGGCTATATCTTCACATAAAAATAGAAGCATTCTGAGGAACTTCATGATGTGTGCATTCATCACAAAGAGTTGAACTTTTCTTTTGATTGAGCAGCTTTGAAAAACTCTTTCTGCAGAATCTGCAAGTTGATATTTGGAGTGCTTTGTGGCCTATAGTAGAAAAGGAAATATCTTTACATAAAACTAGACAGAAGCATTCTGAGAAACTTCTTTGTGATGTGTGCATTCATCTCACAGAGTTGAATCTTTCTTTTGTTTGAGCAGTTTTGAAACTCTCTTTTTGTAGAATCTTCAAGTGGATATTTTCAGCGCTTTGAGGCCTATGTTGGAAAAGAAAATATCTTCACATAAAAACTAGTCAGAAGCATTCTGAGAAACTTCTTTGTGACGTGTGCATTCAACTCATGGAGTTCAACCTTTCTTTTGATTCAGCAGTTTGGAAACAGTCTTTTTACAGTATCTGCAAATGGATATTTGGAGAGCTTTGAGGCCTATGGTGGAAAAGGAAATCTCTTCCCATAAAAACTAGACAGCAAGCATTCTGAGAAACTTCTGCCTGATGGGTGTATTCACTTCACGGAGTTGAACCTTTCCTTGTATTGAACAGTTTGGAAACAATCGTTTCGTAGAATCTGCAGAGGGATATTTTTGAGCCCATTGAGACGTATGGGGTGATAGGAAATATCTTCACATAAAAACTAGACAGATACTTTCTGAGAAACTATTTTGTCATGTGTGACTTCTACTCACTGGGTTGAAACTTTCTCTTGATTGAGCAGTTTGGAAACAGTCTTTTTGTAGAATCTGCAAATTGATATTTGGAGTGCTTTTGGCCTACGTTGTAAAACGAAATATCTTCCCATATAAAGTAGGCAGAAGTTTTGGAGAAATTTATTTTGATGTGTGCATTCATCTCACACAGTTGAAATTTTCTTTTGATTGAGCAGTGTGGATACACTCGTTTTGTAGAGTCTGCAAGTGGATATTTGGAGCACTTTGCGGCCTATAGTGAAAAAGGAAATATCTTCACATAAAAACTAGATAAAAGAATTCTGAGAAACTTCCTTTGAATGGGCGCATTCATCTCACACTGTTGAACTCTTTTTTTGATTGAGCACCTTCTAAACAGTCATTTTGTAGAATATGCAAAGGAATATTTGTGAGCCCATTGATGCCTCTGGGGAAACAGGAAATATCTTCACATAAAAACGAGACAGAATCTTTCTCAGAAACGTCTTGGTGATGTGTGCATTCATCTCACTGAGTTGAACTTTATTTTGATTGAGCAGTTTGGAAACAGTCTTTTCTACTATCTGCAAATGGATATTTGAAGCACTCTGAGGCCTACGGTGAAAAAGGAAATATCTTCAATATAAATCAGACAGAAGCATTCATAGAAACTTCTTTGTGATGTGTGCATTCATCTCACCGACTAGAACCTTTCTTTTGATTGAGCAGTTTTGAAACACTCTTTTAGCGGAATCTGCAAGTGTTTATTTGGAGCGCATGAGGAATATGGTGGAAAAGGAATATTCTTCACATGGAAACGAGACGGAAGCATTCTGAGAAACTTCTCTGTGATGGATGCATTCATTTCACAGAGTTAAACCTTTCCTGTGATTGAACGGTTTGGAAACAGTAGTTTTTTACACTCTGCAGAAGGATACTTGTGAGCTGATTGAGGTCTATGGGGAGATAAGAAATATGTTCACATAAAAACTAGATAGAAAGATTCTGAGAAACTTCTTTGTGATATTTGCTTTTATCTCATAGAGTTGAAACTTTCTTTTTATTGAGCAGTTTGGGAACAGTCTTTTTGTAGTATCTGCAAATGGATATTACCAGTGCTTTGAGGCCTATGGTGAAAAAGGAAATATCTTCACATAAAAACAAGGCAGAAGCATTCTGAGAAACTTCTTTTTGATGTCTGCATTCATCTCACAGAGTTGAACCTTTCTTTTGATTGAGCAGTTTAGAAACGCTCTATTTGTAGTATCTGCAAGTGGATATTTGGAACGCTTTGAGGCCTATAGTGGAAAAGGAAATATCTTCACATAAAAACCTAGAAAGAAGAATTCTGAGAAACTTCCTAGGAATGTGTACTTTCTTCTCACACTGTTGAACCTTTCTTTTGATTGAGCAGCTTCGATACAGTCATTTAGTAGAATCTGAAAGAGAATATTTGAGAGCCCATTGAGGCCTCTTGGGAAATAAGAAATATCTTCACCTAAAAACTAGACAAAAATTTTCTGAGAAACACCCTTGTGATGTGTGCATTCATCATACACAGTTGAACTTTCTTTTGATTGAGCAGTTTGGATACAGTCATTTGTACTATCTGTAAATGGATATTTGGAGTGTACTGAGGCCTATGGTGAAAAAGGAAATATCCTCACATAAAATTCAGATGGAAGCATTCTTAGAAACTCCTTTGTGATGTGTGCACTCATCTCACAGACTTCAAACTTTCTATTGATTGAGCAGTTTTGAAACACTCTTTTTGTAGAATCTGCCAGTGGATATTTGGAGCGCTACTGTGGCCCATAGTGGAAAAGGAAATATCTTCATAAAAAAAATAAACAGAAGCACCTTGAGAAAGTTCTCTGTGTTGTATGCAGTCATATCTCAGACATGAAACTTTCTTTGGTACAGCAGTTTTAAAACACTCTTTTTGGAGATTCTGAAAGTAGGTATTTGGAGAGACTTGAGGACTACGGTGGAAAAGGAAATATCTTCACAAAAAAAGTAGACAGAAGCATTCTGAGAAGCTTCTTTGTGATATGTGCATCCATCTCAAAGAGTTGAACCTTTCTTTTGATTGAGCATTTTTGAAGCACTCTTTTTGTAGAATCTTCAAGTGGATATTTGGAATGCTTTGTGGCCTGTGGTGGAAAAGGAAATATCTTCACATAAAAACTAGACAGAAGCATTCTGAGAAACTTCTTTGTGATGTGCTCATTCAACTCACAGAGTTGAGCTTTTCTTTTGATTGAGCAGTTTGGAAACAGTCTTTTTGTAGAATCTGCAAGTGGATATTTGGAGCGCATGACGACCTATAGTGGAAAAGGAAATATATTCACATAAAAACTAGACAGAAGCATTCTGAGAAACTTCTTTGTGATGTGCTCATTCAACTCACAGAGTTGAACTTTTCTTTTGTTTGAGCAGTTTGCAAACAGTCTTTTTGTAGAATCTGCAAGTGGATATTAGGAGTGTATTACGGCCTATAATGGAGAATGAAATATCTTCACATAAAAACTAGACAGAAACATTATGAGAAACTGCTTTGTGATGCGTGCATTCATCACCAGAGTTGAGTTTCTCTTTTGATTGAACAGTTTTGAAACATTCTTTCTGTAGAATCTGAAAGGGATATTTGCAGCGCTTTGCAGCCTATGGTGAAAAAGGAAATATCTTCACATAAAAGCTAGACAGAAGCATTCTGGGAAAATTCTTTGTGATGTGTGCATTCAACTAACACTGTTGAACCCTTCTTTTGATTGAGCAATTTTGAAACACTCTTTTTGTAGAATCTGCAAGTGTATATTTGGAGTGCTTTGCAGACTACAGTTTAAAAGGGAATATCTTCACCTAAAAACTAGACAGAATCATTATAAGTAATCTCTTTGAGATGCATGCATTCAACTCACAGAGTTGGACATTTCCTTTGATTGAGCAGTGTGGAAACAGTCTTTTTGCAGTATCTGCAAACGGATATTTGCAGCACTTTCAGGCCTATAGTAGGAAAGGAAATATCTTCACATAAAAACTAGACAGAAAATTACTGAGACACTTCTTAATGATGTGTGCATTCATCTCACAGAGTTGAAACTTTCTTTTGATTGAGCCGTTTGGAAACACTCTTTTAGTAGAAACTGCAAGGGGATATTTGGAGCGTTTTGTGGTCTATGGTAGAAAAGGATATATCTTCACATAAAAATAGAAGCATTCTGAGGAACTTCATGATGTGTGCATTCATCTCAAAGAGTTGAACTTGTCTTTTGACTGAGCAGCTTTGAAAAACTCTTTCTGCAGAATCTGCAAGTTGATATTTGGAGTGCTTTGTGGCCTATAGTAGAAAAGGAAATATCTTTACATAAAACTAGACAGAAGCATTCTTAGAAACTACTTTGTGAGGAGTGCATTCATCTCACAGACTTCAACCTTTCTTTTGATTGAGCAGTTTTGAAACACTCTTTTTGCAGGATCTGCAAGTGTATATTTGAAGCGCTTTGAGGCCTGTGGTGGAAAAGGAAACATCTTCACATAAAAACTAGACACAAGCTTTCTGAGAAACTTCTTTGTGATGTGTGCATTCAACTCATGTAGTTGAACCTTTCTTTTGATTCAGCAGTTTGGAAACAGTCTTTTTGTAGTATCTGCAAATGGATATTTGGAGAGCTTTGAGGCCTATGGTGGAAAAGGAAATATCTTCACATAAAAACTAGACAGAAGCATTCTGAGAAACTTATTTGTGATCTGTGCATTCATCTCACAGAGTTGAACCTTTCTTTTGATTCAGCAGTTTTGAAACTGTCGTTTTGTAGAATCTGCAAAGGAATATTTGTGAGCCCATTGAGGCTTCTGGGGTAATAGGAAATATCTTCACATAAAAACTAGACAGATACTTTCTGAGAAACTATTTTGTCATGTGTGACTTCTACTCACCGGGTTGAAACATTCTGTTGATTGAGCAGTTTGGAAACAGTCTTTTTGTAGAATCTGCAAATTGATATTTGGAGTGCTTTTGGCCTACGTTGAAAAACGAAATATCTTCCCATAAAAAGTAGGCAGAAATTTTGGAGAAATTTATTTTGATGTGTGCATTCATCTCACACAGTTGAAATTTTCTTTTGATTGAGCAGTGTGGATACACTCGTTTTGTAGAGTCTGCAAGTGGATATTTGGAGCACTTTGTGGCCTATAGTGAAAAAGGAAATATCTTCACATAAAAACTAGATAGAAGAATTCTGAGAAACTTCCTTTGAATGGGCGCATTCATCTCACACTGTTGAACTTCTTTTTTGATTGAGCACCTTCTAAACAGTCATTTTGTAGAATATGCAAAGGAATATTTGTGAGCCCATTGATGCCTCTGGGGAAACAGGAAATATCTTCACATAAAAACGAGACAGAATCTTTCTCAGAAACGTCTTGGTGATGTGTGCATTCATCTCACTGAGTTGAACTTTATTTTGATTGAGCAGTTTGGAAACAGTCTTTTCTAGTATCTGCAAATGGATATTTTAAACACTCTGAGGCCTACGGTGAAAAAGGAAATATCTTCAATATAAATCAGACAGAAGCATTCATAGAAACTTCTTTGTGATGTGTGCATTCATCTCACCGACTAGAACCTTTCTTTTGATTGAGCAGTTTTGAAACACTCTTTTAGCGGAATCTGCAAGTGTTTATTTGGAGCGCATGAGGAATATGGTGGAAAAGGAATCTTCTTCACATGAAAACGGACGGAAGCATTCTGAGAAACTTCTCTGTGATGGATGCATTCATTTCACAGAGTTAAACCTTTCCTGTGACTGAGCGGTTTGGAAACAGTAGTTTTTTACAATCTGCAGAAGGATACTTGTGAGCCGATTGAGGTCTATGGGGTGATAAGAAATATGTTCACATAAAAACTAGATAGAAAATTTATGAGAAACTTCTTTGTGATATTTGCTTTCATCTCACAGAGTTGAAACTTTCTTTTGATTGAGCAGTTTGGGAACAGTCTTTTTGTAGTATCTGCAAATGGATATTACCAGTGCTTTGAGACCTATGGTGAAAAAGGAAATATCTTCCCATAAATACAAGGCAGAAGAATTCTGAGAAACTTCTTTTTGATGTCTGCATTCATCTCACAGAGTTGAACCTTTCTTTTGATTGAGCAGTTTTGAAACGCTCTATTTGTAGTATCTGCAAGTGGATATTTGGAACGCTTTGAGGCCTATAGTGGAAAAGGAAATATCTTCACATAAAAAACTAGAAAGAAGAATTCTGAGAAACTTCCTAGGAATGTGTGCTTTCTTCTCACACTGTTGAACCTTTCTTTTGATTGAGCAGCTTCGATACAGTCATTTAGTAGAATCTGAAAGAGAATATTTGAGAGCCCATTGAGGCCTCTTGGGAAATAAGAAATATCTTCATCTAAAAACTAGACAAAAACTTTCTGAGAAACACCCTTGTGATGTGTGCATTCATCATACACAGTTGAACTTTCTTTTGATTGAGCAGTTTGGATACAGTCATTTGTATTATCTGTAAATGGATATTTGGAATGTACTGACGCCTATGGTGAAAAAGGAAATATCCTCACATAAAATTCAGATGGAAGCATTCTTAGAAACTCCTTTGTGATGTGTACATTCATCTCACAGACTTCAAACTTTCTATTGATTGAGCAGTGTTGAAACACTCTTTTTGTAGAATCTGCCAGTGGATATTTGGAGCGCTCTGTGGCCAATAGTGGAAAAGGAAATATCTTCATCAAAAAAATAAACAGAAGCACTTTGAGAAACTTCTCTGTGTTGTATGCAGTCATATCTCAGACATGAAACTTTCTTTGGTACAGCAGTTTTAAAACACTCTTTTTGGAGATTCTGAAAGTAGATATTTGGAGAGACTTGAGGACTACGGTGGAAAAGGAAATATCTTCACCAAAAAACTAGACAGAAACATTCTGAGAAGCTTCTTTGTGATGTGTGCATCCATCTCGAAGAGTTGAACCTTTCTTTTGATTGAGCATTTTTGAAGCACTCTTTTTGTAGAATCTTCAAGTGGATATTTGGAGTGTTTGTGGCCTGTGGTGGAAAAGGAAATATATTCACATAAAAACTAGATAGAAGCATTCTGAGAAACTTCTTTGTGATGTGCTCATTCAACTCACAGAGTTGAGCTTTTCTTTTGATTGAGCAGTTTGGAAACAGTCTTTTTGTAGAATCTGCAAGTGGATATTTGGAGCGCATGATGGCCTATAGTGGAAAAGGAAATATATTCACATAAAAACTAGACAGAAGCATGCTGAGAAACTTCTTTGTGATGCGTGCATTCAACTAAAAAAGTTGAACATTTCTTTTGATTGAGTAGTTTGGAAACAGTCTTTTTGTAGAATCTGCAAGTGGATATTTGGAGTGCTTTACGGCCTATAGTGGAAAACGAAATACCTTCACATAAAAACTAGACAGAAACATTATGAGAAACTGCTTTGTGATGCGTGCATTCATCACCAGAGTTGAATTTCTCTTTTGATTGATCAGTTTTGAAACACTCTTTCTGTAGAATCTGAAAGGGATATTTGGAGCGCTTTGCAGCCTATGGTGAAAAAGGAAATATCTTCACATAAAAGCTAGACAGAAGCATTCTAAGAAAGTGCTTTGTGACGTGTGCATTCATCTCACAGTGTTGAACCTTTCTTTTGATTGAGCAGTTTTGAAACACTCTTATTGTAGAATCTGCAAGTGGATATTTGGAGAGTTTGAGGTCACTGGTGGAAAAGCAAATATCTTCACATCAAAACTAGACAGAATCATTATAAGTAATCTCTTTGAGATGCAGTGCATTCAACTCACAGAGTTGGACCGTTTCCTTTGATTGAGCAGTTTGGAAACAGTCTTTTTGCAGTATCTGCAAGCGGATATTTGGAGCACTTTCAGGCCTATAGTAGGAAAGGAAATATCTTCACATAAAAACTAGACAGAAAATTACTGAGAAACTTCTTTATGATGTGTGCATTCATCTCACAGAGTTGAAACTTTCTTTTGATTGAGCAGTTTGGAAACACTCTTTTAGTAGAAACTGCAAGGGGATATTTGGAGCGTTTTGTGGTCTATGGCAGAAAAGGCTATATCTTCACATAAAAATAGAAGCATTCTGAGGAACTTCATGATGTGTGCATTAATCTCAAAGAGTTGAACTTTTCTTTTGATTGAGCAGCTTTGAAAATCTCTTTCTGCAGAATCTGCAAGTTGATATTTGGAGTGCTTTGTGGCCTATAGTAGAAAAGGAAATATCTTTACATAAAACTAGACAGAAGCATTCTCAGAAACTTCTTTGTGATGTGTGCATTCATCTCACAGACTTCAAACTTTCTATTGATTGAGCAGTTTTGAAACACTCTTTTTGCAGTATCTGCAAGTGTATATTTGAAGTGCTTTGAGGCTTCTGGTGGAAAAGGAAGCATCTTCACATAAAAACTAGACACAAGCATTCTGAGAAACTTCTTTGTGACGTGTGCATTCAACTCATGGAGTTCAACCTTTCTTTTGATTCAGCAGTTTGGAAACAGTCTTTTTACAGTATCTGCAGATGGATATTTGGAGAGCTTTGAGGCCTATGGTGGAAAAGGAAATCTCTTCCCATAAAAACTAGACAGCAGCATTCTGAGAAACTTATTTGTGATCTGTGCATTCATCTCACGGAGTTGAACCTTTCTTTTGATTCAGCAGTTTTGAAACTGTCGTTTTGTAGAATCTGCAAAGGAATATTTGTGAGCCCATGGAGGCTTCTGGGGTGATAGGAAATATCTTCACATAAAAACTAGACAGATACTTTCTGAGAAACTATTTTGTCATGTGTGACTTCTACTCACCAGGTTGAAACTTTCTCTTGATTGAGCAGTTTGGAAACAGTCTTTTTGTAGAATCTGCAAATTGATATTTGGAGTGCTTCTGGCCTACGTTGAAAAACGAAATATCTTCCCATAAAAAGTAGGCAGAAGTTTTGGAGAAATTTATTTTGATGTGTGCATTCATCTCACACAGTTGAAATTTTCTTTTGATTGAGCAGTGTGGATACACTCGTTTTGTAGCGTCTGCAAGTGGATATTTGGAGCACTTTGTGGCCTACAGTGAAAAAGGAAATATCTTCACATAAAAACTAGATAGAAGAATTCTGAGAAACTTCCTTTGAATGGGCGCATTCATCTCACACTGTTGAACTTTTTTTTTTGATTGAGCACCTTCTAAACAGTCATTTTGTAGAATATGCAAAGGAATATTTGTGAGCCCATTGATGCCTCTGGGGAAACAGGAAATATCTTCACATAAAAACGAGACAGAAATCTTTCTCAGAAACGTCTTGGTGATGTGTGCATTCATCTCACTGAGTTGAACTTTATTTTGATTGAGCAGTTTGGAAACAGTCTTTTCTAGTATCTGCAAATGGATATTTTAAGCACTCTGAGGCCTACAGTGAAAAAGGAAATATCTTCAATATAAATCAGACAGAAGCATTCATAGAAACTTCTTTGGGATGTGTGCATTCATCTCACCGACTAGAACCTTTCTTTTGATTGAGCAGTTTTGAAACACTCTTTTAGCGGAATCTGCAAGTGTTTATTTGGAACGCATGAGGAATATGGTGGAAAAGGAATCTTCTTCACATGAAAACGAGACGGAAACATTCTGAGAAACTTTTCTGTGATGGGCGCATTCATTTCACAAAGTTAAACCCTTCCTGTGATTGAATGGTTTGGAAACATTTGTTTTGTATAATCTGCAGAAGGATATTTTTGAGCTGATTGAGGCCTATGGGGCGATAGGAAATATGTTCACATAAAAACTAGACAGAAAGTTTCTGAGAAACTTCTTTGTGATATTTGCTTTTATCTCATAGAGTTGAAACTTTATTTTTATTGAGCAGTTTGGGAACAGTCTTTTTGTAGTATCTGCAAATGGATATTACCAGTGCTTTGAGGCCTATTTTGAAAAAGGAAATATCTTCACATAAAAACAAGGCAGAAGCATTCTGAGAAACTTCTTTTTGATGTCTGCATTCATCTCACAGAGTTGAACATTTCTTTTGATTGAGCAGTTTTGAAACGCTCTATTTGTAGTATCTGCAAGTGGATATTTGGAACGCTTTGAGGCCTATAGTGGAAAAGGAAATATCTTCACATAAAAAACTAGAAAGAAGAATTCTGAGAAACTTCCTAGGAAGCTGTATTTTCGTCTCACACTGTTAAACCCGTCTTTTGATTGAGCAGCTTCGATACAGTCATTTAGTAGAATATGAAAGGGAATATTTGAGAGCCCATTGAGGCCTCTGGGGAAATAAGAAATATCTTCACCTAAAAACTAGACAAAATCTTTCTGAGAAACCCCCTTGTGATGTGTGCATTCATCATGCACAGTTGAAATTTCTTTTGATTGAGCAGTTTGGATACAGTCATTTGTATTTTCTGTAAATGGATATTTGGAGTGTATTGAGGCCTATGGTGAAAAAGGAAATATCCTCACATAAAATTCAGATGGAAGCATTCTTAGAAACTCCTATGTGATGTGTGCATTCATCTCACAGACTTCAAACTTTCTATTGATTGAGCAGTTTTGAAACACTCTTTTTGTAGAATCTGCCAGTGGATATTTGGAGCGTTCTGTTGCCCATAGTGGAAAAGGAAATATCTTCATAAAAAAAATAAACAGAAGCACTTTGAGAAAGTTTTCTGTGTTGTATGCAGTCATAACTCAGACATGAAACTTTCTTTGGTACAGCAGTTTTAAAACACTCTTTTTGGAGATTCTGAAAGTAGATATTTGGAGAGACTTGAGGACTACGGTGGAAAAGGAAATATCTTCACAAAAAAACTAGACAGAAACATTCTGAGAAGCTTCTTTGTGATGTGTGCGTCCATTTCGAAGAGTTGAACCTTTCTTTTGATTGAGCATTTTTGAAGCACTCTTTTTGTAGAATCTTCAAGTGGATATTTGGAGGGTTTGTGGCCTGTGGTGGAAAAGGAAATATATTCACATAAAAACTAGATAGAAGCATTCTGAGAAACTTCTTTGTGATGTGCTCATACAACTCACAGAGTTGAGCTTTTCTTTTGATTGAGCAGTTTGGAAACAGTCTTTTTGTAGAATCTGCAAGTGGATATTAGGAGTGCATTACGGCCTATAGTGGAAAAGGAAATATATTCACATAAAAACTAGACAGAAGCATGCTGAGAAACTTCTTTGTGATGTGCTCATTCAACTCACAGAGTTGAACTTTTCTTTTGTTTGAGCAGTTTGCAAACAGTCTTTCTGTAGAATCTGCAAGTGGATATTAGGAGTGCATTACGGCCTATAGTGGAAAATGAAATATCTTCACATAAAAACTAGACAGAAATATTATGAGAAACTGCTTTGTGATGCGTGCATTCATCACCAGAGTTGAGTTTCTCTTTTGATTGAACAGTTTTGAAACTCTCTTTCTGTAGAATCTGAAAGGGATATTTGGAGCGCTTTGCAGCCTATGGTGAAAAAGGAAATATCTTCACATAAAAGCTAGACAGATGCATTCTAAGAAAGTGCTTTGTGACGTGTGCATTCATCTCACAGTGTTGAAGCTTTCTTTTGATTGAGCAGTTTTGAAACACTCTTATTGTAGAATCTGCAAGTGGATATTTGGAGAGTTTGAGGTCACTGGTGGAAAAGCAAATATCTTCACATCAAAACTAGACAGAATCATTATAAGTAATCTCTTTGAGATGCGTGCATTGAACTCACAGAGTTGGACATTTCCTTTGATTGAGCAGTGTGGAAACAGTCTTTTTGCAGTATCTGCAAACGGATATTTGGAGCACTTTCAGGCCTATAGTAGGAAAGGAAATATCTTCACATAAAAACTAGACAGAAAATTACTGAGAAACTTCTTAATGATGTGTGCATTCATCTCACAGAGTTGAAACTTCTTTTGATTGAGCAGTTTGGAAACACTCTTTTAGTAGAAACTGCAAGGGGATATTTGGAGCGTTTTGTGGTCTATGGTAGAAAAGGATATGTCTTCACATAAAAATAGAAGCATTCTGAGGAACTTCTTCATGACGTGTGCATTCATCTCAAAGAGTTGAACTTTTCTTTTGATTGAGCAGCTTTGAAAAACTCTTTCTGCAGAATCTGCAAGTTGATATTTGGAGTACTTTGCGGCCTATAGTAGAAAAGGAAATATCTTCACATAAAACTAGACAGAAGCATTCTGAGAAACTTCTTTGTGATGTGTGCATTCATCTCACAGAGTTGAATCTTTCTTTTGTTTGAGCAGTTTTGAAACTCTCTTTCTGTAGAATCTTCAAGTGGATATTTTTAGCGCTTTGAGGCCTATGGTGGAAAAGAAAATATCTTCACATAAAAACTAGTCAGAAGAATTCTGAGAAACTTCTTTGTGACGTGTGCATTCAACTCATGGAGTTCAACCTTTCTTTTGATTCAGCAGTTTGGAAACAGTCTTTTTACAGTATCTGCAAATGGCTATTTGGAGAGCTTTGAGGCCTATGGTGGAAAAGGAAATCTCTTCCCATAAAAACTAGACAGCAGCATTCTGAGAAACTTATTTGTGATCTGTGCATTCATCTCACAGAGTTGAACCTTTCTTTTGATTCAGCAGTTTTGAAACTGTCGTTTTGTAGAATCTGCAAAGGAATATTTGTGAGCCCATTGAGGCTTCTGGGGTGATAAGAAATATCTTCACATAAAAACTAGACAGATACTTTCTGAGAAACTATTTTGTCATGTGTGACTTCTACTCACCAGGTTGAAACTTTCTCTTGATTGAGCAGTTTGGAAACAGTCTTTTTGTAGAATCTGCAAATTGATATTTGGAGTGCTTTTGGCCTACGTTGAAAAACGAAATATCTTCCCATAAAAAGTAGGCAGAAGTTTTGGAGAAATTTATTTTGATGTGTGCATTCATCTCACACAGTTGAAATTTTCTTTTGATTGAGCAGTGTGGATACACTCGTTTTGTAGAGTCTGCAAGTGGATATTTGGAGCACTTTGTGGCCTACAGTGAAAAAGGAAATATCTTCACATAAAAACTAGATAGAAGAATTCTGAGAAACTTCCTTTGAATGTGCGCATTCATCTCACATTGTTGAACTTTTTTTTTTGATTGAGCACCTTCTAAACAGTCATTTTGTAGAATATGCAAAGGAATATTTGTGAGCCCATTGATGCCTCTGGGGAAATAGGAAATATCTTCACATAAAAACGAGACAGAATCTTTCTCAGAAACGTCTTGGTGATGTGTGCATTCATCTCACTGAGTTGAACTTTATTTTGATTGAGCAGTTTGGAAAGTGTCTTTTCTAGTATCTGCAAATGGATATTTTAAGCACTCTGAAGCCTACGGTGAAAAAGGAAATATCTTCAATATAAATCAGACAGAAGCATTCATAGAAACTTCTTTGTGATGTGTGCATTCGTCTCACCGACTAGAACCTTTCTTTTGATTGAGCAGTTTTGAAACACTCTTTTAGCAGAATCTGCAAGTGTTTATTTGGAGTGCATGAGGAATATGGTGGAAAAGGAATCTTCTTCACATAAAAACGAGACAGAAGCATTCTGAGAAACTTCTCTGTGATGGGTGCATTCATTTCACAGAGTTAAACCTTTCCTGTGATTGAGCGGTTTGGAAACAGTCGTTTTTTATAATCTGCAGAAGGATACTTGTGAGCCGATTGAGGTCTATGGGGTGATAAGAAATATGTTCACATAAAAACTAGATAGAAAGTTTCTGAGAAACTTCTTTGTGATATTTGCTTTTATCTCCTAGAGTTGAAACTTTCTTTTTATTGAGCAGTTTGGGGACAGTCTTTTTGTAGTATCTGCAAATGGATATTACCAGTGCTTTGAGGCCTATGGTGAAAAAGGAAATATCTTCACATAAAAACAAGGCGGAAGCATTCTGAGAAACTTCTTTTTGATGTCTGCATTCATCTCACAGAGTTGAACCTTTCTTTTGATTGAGCAGTTTTGAAAGGCTCTATTTGTAGGATCTGCAAGTGGATATTTGGAACGCTTTGAGGCCTATAGTGGAAAACGAAATATCTTCACATAAAAACCTAGAAGGAAGAATTCTGAGAAACTTCCTAGGAAGGTGTATTTTCGTCTCACACTGTTAAACCCGTCTTTTGATTGAGCAGCTTCGATACAGTCATTTAGTAGAATATGAAAGGGAATATTTGAGATCCCATTGAGGCCTCTGGGGAAATAAGAAATATCTTCACCTAAAAACAAGACAAAAACTTTCTGAGAAACACCCTTGTGATGTGTGCATTCATCATACACAGTTGAACTTTCTTTTGATTGAGCAGTTTGGATACAGTCATTTGTATTATCTGTAAATGGATATTTGGAGTGTACTGAGGCCTATGGTGAAAAAGGAAATATCCTCACATAAAATTCAGATGGAAGCATTCTTAGAAACTCCTTTGTGATGTGTACATTCATCTCACACACTTCAAACTTTCTACTGATTGAGCAGTTTTGAAACACTCTTTTTGTAGAATCTGCCAGTGGATATTTGGAGCGCTCTGTGGCCCATAGTGGAAAAGGAAATATCTTCATAAGAAAAATAAACAGAAGCACTTTGAGAAAGTTCTCTGTGTTGTATGCAGTCATAACTCAGACATGAAACTTTCTTTGGTACAGCAGTTTTAAAACACTCTTTATGGAGATTCTGAAAGTAGATATTTGGAGAGACTTGAGGACTACGGTGGAAAAGGAAATATCTTCACAAAAAAACTAGACAGAAACATTCTGAGAAGCTTCTTTGTGATGTGTGCATCCATCTCAAAGCAGTTGAACCTTTCTTTTGATTGAGCATTTTTGAAGCACTCTTTTTGTAGAATCTTCAAGTGGATATTTGGAGTGTTTGTGGCCTGTGGTGGAAAAGGAAATATATTCACATAAAAACTAGATAGAAGCATTCTGAGAAACTTCTTTGTGATGTGCTCATTCATCTCACAGAGTTGAACTTTTCTTTTGATTGAGCAGTTTGGAAACAGTCTTTTTGTAGAATCTGCAGGTGGATATTTGGAGCGCATTACGGCCTATAGTGGAAAAGGAAATATATTCACATAAAAACTAGACAGAAGCATTCTGAGAAACTTATTTGTGATGTGCTCATTCAACTCACAGATTTAAACTTTTCTTTTGATTGAGCAGTTTGGAAACAGTCTTTTTGTAGTACCTGCAAATGGATATTTGGAGTGCTTTGGGGCCTGTGGTGGAAAAGGAAATATATACACACAAAAACTAGACAGATAAATATTATGAGAAACTGCTCTGTGATGCGTGCATTCATCACCAGGGTTGAACCTTTCTTTTGATTGAACAGTTTTGAAACACTCTTTCTGTAGAATCTGAAGGGGATATTTGGAACGCCTTGCGGCCTATGGTGAAAAACGAAATATCTTCACATAAAAACTAGACAGAAGCATTCTAAGAAAGTGCTTTGTGACGTGTGCATTCATCTCACAGTGTTGAACCTTTCTTTGATTGAGCAGTTTTGAAACACTCTTATTGTAGAATCTGCAAGTGGATATTTGGAGAGTTTGAGGCCACTGGTGGAAAAGCAAATATCTTCACATCAAAACTAGACAGAATCATTATGAGTAATCTCTTTGAGATGCGTGCATTCAACTCACAGCATTTGGACATTTCCTTTGATTGAGCAGTTTGGAAACAGTCTTTTTGCAGTATCTGCAAACGGATATTTGGAGCACTTTCAGGCCTATAGTAGGAAAGGAAATATCTTCACATAAAAACTAGACAGAAAATTACTGAGAAACTTCTTATTGATGAGTGCATTCATCTCACAGAGTTGAAACTTCTTTTGATTGAGCAGTTTGGAAACACTCTTTTAGTAGAAACTGCAAGGGGATATTTGGAGCGTTTTGTCGTCTATGGTAGAAAAGGCTATATCTTCACATAAAAATAGAAGCATTCTGAGGAACTTCCTGATGTGTGCATTCATCTCAAAGAGTTGAACTTTTCTTTTGATTGAGCAGCTTTGAAAAACTCTTTCTGCAGAATCTGCAAGTTGATATTTGGAGTGCTTTGTGGCCTATAGTAGAAAAGGAAATATCTTTACATAAAACCAGACAGAAGCATTCTTAGAAACTTCTTTGTGATGTGTACATTCATCTCACAGACTTCAACCTTTCTTTTGATTGAGCAGTTTTGAAACACTCTTTTTGCAAGATCTGCAAGTGTATATTTGAAGCACTTTGAGGCCTCTGGTGGAAAAGGAAACATCTTCACATAAAAGCTAGACACAAGCATTCTGAGAAACGCCTTTGTGACGTGTGCATTCAACTCATGGAGTTCAACCTTTCTTTTGATTCAGCAGTTTGGAAACAGTCTTTTTACAGTGTCTGCAAATGGATATTTGGAGAGCTTTGAGGCCTATGGTGGAAAAGGAAATATCTTCCCATAAAAACTAGACAGCAGCATTCTGAGAAACTTATTTGTGATCTGTGCATTCATCTCCCAGAGTTGAACCTTTCTTTTGATTCAGCAGTTTTGAAACTGTCGTTTTGTAGAATCTGCAAAGGAATATTGTGAGCCCATTGAGGCTTCTGGGGTGATAGGAAATATCTTCACGTAAAAACTAGACAGATACTTTCTGAGAAACTATTTTGTCATGTGTGACTTCTACTCACCGGGTTGAAACTTTCTCTTGATTGAGCAGTTTGGAAACGGTCTTTTTGTAGAATCTGCAAATTGATATTTGGAGTGCTTTTGGCCTATGTTGAAAAACAAAATATCTTCCCATAAAAAGTAGGCAGAAGCTTTTGGAGAAATTTCTTTGTGATGTGTGCATTCATCTCACACAGTTGAACTTTTCTTTTGATTGAGCAGTGTGGAAACACTCTTTTTGTAGAGTCTGCAAGTGGATATTTTGAGTGCTTTGTGGCCTATAGTGAAAAAGGAAATATCTTCACATAAAAACTGGACAGAAGAATTCTGAGAAACTTCCTTTGAATGGGCGCATTCATCTCACACTGTTGAAATTTTTTTTTGATTGAGCACCTTCTAAACAGTCATTTTGTAGAATGTGCAAAGGAATATTTGTGAGCCCATTGATGCCTCTGGGGAAACAGGAAATATCTTCACATAAAAACGAGACAGAATCTTTCTCAGAAACGTCTTGGTGATGTGTGCATTCATCTCACTGAGTTGAACTTTATTTTGATTGAGCAGTTTGGAAACAGTCTTTTCTAGTATCTGCAAATGGATATTTTAAGCACTCTGAGGCCTACGGTTAAAAAGGAAATATCTTCAATATAAATCAGACAGAAGCATTCATAGAAACTTCTTTGTGATGTGTGCATTCATCTCACCGACTAGAACCTTTCTTTTGATTGAGCAGTTTTGAAACACTCTTTTAGCGGAATCTGCAAGTGTTTATTTGGAGCGCATGAGGAATATGGTGGAAAAGGAATCTTCTTCACATGGAAACGAGACGGAAGCATTCTGAGAAACTTCTCTGGGATGGATGCATTCATTTCACAGAGTTAAACCTTTCCTGTGATTGAGCGGTTTGGAAACAGTAGTTTTTTACAATCTGCAGAAGGATACTTGTGAGCCGATTGAGGTCTATGGGGTGATAAGAAATATGTTCACATAAAAACTAGATAGAAAGTTTCTGAGAAACTTCTTTGTGATATTAGCTTTTATCTCATAGAGTTGAAACTTTCTTTTTATTGAGCAGTTTGGGAACAGTCTTTTTGTAGTATCTACAAATGGATATTACCAGTGCTTTGAGGCCTATGGTGAAAAAGGAAATATCTTCACATAAAAACAAGGCGGAAGCATTCTGAGAAACTTCTTTTTGATGTCTGCATTCATCTCACAGAGTTGAACCTTTCTTTCGATTGAGCAGTTTTGAAAGGCTCTATTTGTAGGATCTGCAAGTGGATATTTGGAACGCTTTGAGGCCTATAGTGGAAAAGGAAATATCTTCACATAAAAACCTAGAAAGAAGAATTCTGAGAAACTTCCCAGGAAGGTGTATTTTCGTCTCACACTGTTAAACCTTTCTTTTGATTGAGCAGATTCGATACAGTCGTTTAGTAGAATATGAAAGGGAATATTTGAGAGCCCATTGAGGCCTCTGGGGAAGTAAGAAATAACTTCACCTAAAAATTAGACAAAAACTTTCTGAGAAACTTCCTTGTGATGTGTGTATTCATCATACACAAGTTGAACTTTCTTTTGATTGAGCGGTTTGGATACAGTCATTTGTATTATCTATAAATGGATATTTGGAGCGTATTGAGGCCTATGGTGAAAAAGGAAATATCCTCACATAAAATTCAGATGGAAGCATTCTTAGAAACTCCTTTGTGATGTGCACATTCATCTCACAGACTTCAAACTTTCTATTGATTGAGCAGTTTTGAAACACTCTTTTTGTAGAATCTGCCAGTGGATATTTGGAGCGCTCTGTGGCCCATAGTGGAAAAGGAAATATCTTCATAAGAAAAATAAACAGAAGCACTTTGAGAAACTTCTCTGTGTTGTATGCAGTCATATCTCAGACATGAAACTTTCTTTGGTACAGCAGTTTTCAAACACTCTTTTTGGAGATTCTGAAAGTAGATATTTGGAGAGACTTGAGGACTACGGTGGAAAAGGAAATATCTTCACAAAAAAACTAGACAGAAACATTCTGAGAAGCTTCTTTGTGATGTGTGCATCCATCTCAAAGAGTTGAAACTTTCTTTTGATTGAGCATTTTTGAAGCACTCTTTTTGTAGAATCTTCAAGTGGATATTTGGAGTGTTTGTGGCCTGTGGTGGAAAAGGAAATATATTCACTTAAAAACTAGACAGAAGCATTCTGAGAAACTTCTTTCTGATGTGCTCATTCAACTCACAGAGTTGAGCTTTTCTTTTGATTGAGCAGTTTGGAAACAGTCTTTTTGTAGAAACTGCAAGTGGATATTTGGAGCGCATTACGGCCTATAGTGGAAAAGGAAATATATTCACATAGAAACTAGACAGAAGCATTCTGAGAAACTTCTTTGTGATGTGCTCATTCAACTCACAGAGTTGAACTTTTCTTTTGTTTGAGCAGTTTGCAAACAGTCTTTTGTAGAATCTGCAAGTGGATATTAGGAGTGCATTACGGCCTATAGTGGAAAATGAAATAACTTCACATAAAAAATAGACAGAAACATGATGAGAAACTACTATGTGATGCGTGCATTCATAACCAGAGTTGTGTTTCTCTTTTGATTGAACAGTTTTGAAACACTCTTTCTGTTGAATCTGAAAGGGATATTTGGAGCGCTTTGCAGCCTATGGTGAAAAAGGAAATATCTTCACATAAAAGCTAGACAGAAGCATTCTAAGAAAGTGCTTTGTGACGTGTGCATTCATCTCAGAGTGTTGAACCTTTCTTTTGATTGAGCAGTTTTGAAACACTCTTATTGTAGAATCTGCAAGTGGATATTTGGAGAGTTTGAGGCCACTGGTGGAAAAGCAAATATCTTCACATCAAAACTAGACAGAATCATTATAAGTAATCTCTTTGAGATGCGTGCATTCAACTCACAGAGTTGGACATTTCCTTTGATTGAGCAGTTTGGAAACAGTCTTTATGCAGTATCTGCAAACGGATATTTGGAGCACTTTCAGGCCTATAGTAGGAAGGGAAATATCTTCACATAAAAACTAGACAGCAAATTACTGAGACACTTCTTAATGATGTGTGCATTCATCTCACAGCGTTGAAACTTTCTTTTGATTGAGCCGTTTGGAAACACTCTTTTAGTAGAAACTGCAAGGGGATATTTGGAGCGTTTTGTGGTCTATGGTAGAAAAGGATATGTTCACATAAAAATAGAAGCATTCTGAGGAACTTCCTGATGTGTGCATTCGTCTCAAAGAGTTGAACTTTTCTTTTGATTGAGCAGCTTTGAAAAACTCTTTCTGCAGTATCTGCAAGTTGATATTTGGAGTGCTTTGTGGCCTATAGTAGAAAAGGAAATATCTTTACATAAAACTAGACAGAAGCATTCTGAGGAAACTTCTTTGTGATGTGTGCATTCATCTCACAGAGTTGAATCTTTCTTTTGTTTGAGCAGTTTTGAAACTCTCTTTTTGTAGAATCTTCAAGTGGATATTTTCAGCGCTTTGAGGCCTACGGTGGAAAAGAAAATATCTTCACATAAAAACTAGTCAGAACCATTCTGAGAAACTTCTTTATGACGTGTGCATTCAACTCATGGAGTTCAACCTTTCTTTTGATTCAGCAGTTTGGAAACAGTCTTTTTACAGTATCTGCAAATGGCTATTTGGAGAGCTTTGAGGCCTATGGTGGAAAAGGAAATCTCTTCCCATTAAAACTAGACAGCAGCATTCTGAGAAACTTATTTGTGATCTGTGCATTAATCTCACAGAGTTGAACCTTTCTTTTGATTCAGCAGTTTTGAAACTGTCGTTTTGTAGAATCTGCAAAGGAATATTTGTGAGACCATTGAGGCTTCTGGGGTGATAGGAAATATCTTCACATAAAAACTAGACAGATACTTTCTGAGAAACTATTTTGTCATGTGTGACTTCTACTCACTGGGTTGAAACTTTCTCTTGATTGAGCAGTTTGGAAACAGTCTTTTTGTAGAATCTGCAAATTGATATTTGGAGTGCTTTTGGCCTACGTTGAAAAACGAAATATCTTCCCATAAAAAGTAGGCAGAAGTTTTGGAGAAATTTATTTTGATGTGTGCATTCATCTCACACAGTTGAAATATTCTTTTGATTGTGCAGTGTGGATACACTCGTTTTGTAGAGTCTGCAAGTGGATATTTGGAGCACTTTGTGGCCTATAGTGAAAAAGGAAATATCTTCACATAAAAACTAGATAGAAGAATTCTGAGAAACTTCCTTTGAATGGGCGCATTCATCTCACACTGTTGAACTTTTTTTTTGATTGAGCACCTTCTAAACAGTCATTTTGTAGAATAGGCAAAGGAATGTTTGTGAGCCCATTGATGCCTCTGGAGAAACAGGAAATATCTTCACATAAAAACGAGACAGAATCTTTCTCAGAAACGTCTTGGTGATGTGTGCATTCATCTCACTGAGTTGAACTTTACTTTGATTGAGCAGTTTGGAAACAGTCTTTTCTAGTATCTGCAAATGGATATTTTAAGCACTCTGAGGCCTACGGTGAAAAAAGAAATATCTTCAATATAAATCAGACAGAAGCATTCATAGAAACTTCTTTGTGATGTGTGCATTCATCTCACTGACTAGAACCTTTCTTTTGATTGAGCAGTTTTGAAACACTTTTATAGCAGAATCTGCAAGTGTTTATTTAGAGTGCATGAGGAATATGGTGGAAAAGGAATCTTCTTCACATAAAAACGAGACAGAAGCATTCTGAGAAACTTCTCTGTGATGGGTGCATTCATTTCACAGAGTGGAACCTTTCCTGTGATTGAGTGGTTTGGAAACAGTCGTTTTTTATAATCTGCAGAAGGATACTTGTGAGCCATTGAGGTCTATGGGGTGATAAGAAATATGTTCACATAAAAACTAGATAGAAAGTTTCTGAGAAACTTCTTTGTGATATTTGCTTTTATCTCCTAGAGTTGAAACTTTCTTTTTATTGAGCAGTTTGGGGACAGTCTTTTTGTAGTATCTGCAAATGGATATTACCAGTGCTTTGAGGCCTATGGTGGAAAAGGAAATATCTTCACATAAAAACAAGGCGGAAGCATTCTGAGAAACTTCTTTTTGATGTATGCATTCATCTCACAGAGTTGAACCTTTCTTTTGATTGAGCAGTTTTGAAACGCTCTATTTGTAGTATCTGCAAGTGGATATTTGGAACGCTTTGAGGCCTATAGTGGAAAAGGAAATATCTTCACATAAAAAACTAGAAAGAAGAATTCTGAGAAACTTCCTAGGAAGGTGTGTTTTCGTCTCACACTGTTAAACCCGTCTTTTGATTGAGCAGCTTCGATACAGTCATTTAGTAGAATATGAAAGGGAATATTTGAGAGCCCATTGAGGCCTCTGGGGAAATAAGAAATATCTTCACCTAAAAACTAGACAAAATCTTTCTGAGAAACAGCCTTGTGATGTGTGCCTTCATCATACACAGTTGAACTTTCTTTTGATTGAGCAGTTTGGATACAGTCATTTGTATTATCTGTAAATGGATATTTGGAGTGTACTGAGGCCTATGGTGAAAAAGGAAATATCCTCACATAAAATTCAGATGGAAGCATTCTTAGAAACTCCTTTGTGATGTGTACATTCATCTCACAGACTTCAAACTTTCTATTGATTGAGCAGTTTTGAAACACCCTTTTTGTAGAATCTGCCAGTGGATATTTGGAGCACTCTGTGGCCCATAGTGGAAAAGGAAATATCTTCATAAGAAAAATAAACAGAAGCACTTTGAGAAACTTCTCTGTGTTGTATGCAGTCATATCTCAGACATGAAACTTTCTTTGGTACAGGAGTTTTAAAACACTCTTTTTGGAGATTCTGAAAGTAGATATTTGGAGAGACTTGAGGACTACGGTGGAAAAGGAAATATCTTCACAAGAAAACTAGACAGAAACATTCTGAGAAGCTTCTTTGTGTTGTGTGCGTCCATCTCGAAGAGTTGAACCTTTGTTTTGATTGCGCATTTTTGAGGCACTCTTTTTGTAGAATCTTCAAGTGGATATTTGGAGGGTTTGTGGCCTGTGGTGGAAAAGCAAATATATTCACATAAAAACTAGATAGAAGCATTCTGAGAAACTTCTTTGTGATGTGCTCATTCAACTCACAGAGTTGAGCTTTTCTTTTGATTGAGCAGTTTGGAAACAGTCTTTCTGTAGAATCTGCAAGTGGATATTTGGAGCGCATTACGGCCTATAGTGGAAAAGGAAATATATTCACATAAAAACTAGACAGAAGCATTCTGAGAAACTTCTTTGTGATGTGCTCATTCAACTCACAGAGTTGAGCTTTTCTTTTGATTGAGCAGTTTGGAAACAGTCTTTCTGTAGAATCTGCAAGTGGATATTAGGAGTGCATTACGGCCTATAGTGGAAAATGAAATATCTTCACATAAAAACTAGACAGAAACATTATGAGAAACTGCTTTGTGATGCGTGCATTCATCACCAGAGTTGAGTTTCTCTTTTGATTGAACAGTTTTGAAACACTCTTTCTGTAGAATCTGAAAGGGATATTTGGAGCGCTTTGCAGCCTATGGTGTAAAAGGAAACATCTTCCCATAAAAGCTAGACAGAAGCATTCTAAGAAAGTGCTTTGTGACGCGTGCATTCATCTGACAGTGTTGAACCTTTCTTTTGATTGAGCAGTTTTGAAACACTCTTATTGTAGAATCTGCAAGTGGATATTTGGAGAGTTTGAGGCCACTGGTGGAAAAGCAAATATCTTCACATCAAAACTAGACAGAATCATTATAAGTAATCTCTTTGAGATGCGTGCATTCAACTCACAGAGTTGGACGTTTCCTTTGATTGAGCAGTTTGGAAACAGTCTTTTTGCGGTATCTGCAAGCGGATATTTGGAGCACTTTCAGGCCTATAGTAGGAAAGGAAATATCTTCACATAAAAACTAGACAGAAAATTACTGAGAAACTTCGTAATGATGTGTGCATTCATCTCACAGAGTTGAAACTTTCCTGTGATTGAGCAGTTTGGAAACACTCTTTTAGTAGAAAGTGCAAGGGGATATTTGGAGGGTTTTATGGTCTATGGTAGAAAAGGTTATCTTCACATAAAAATAGAAGCATTCTGAGGAACTTCCTGATGTGTGCATTCATCTCAAAGAGTTGAACTTTTCTTTTGATTGAGCAGCTTTGAAAAACTCTTTCTGCAGAATCTGCAAGTTGATATTTGGAAAGCTTTGTGGCCTATAGTAGAAAAGGAAATATCTTTACATAAAACTAGACAGAAGCATTCTGAGAAACTTCTTTGTGATGTGTGCATTCATCTCACAGAGTTGAATCTTTCTTTTGTTTGAGCAGTTTTGAAACTCTCTTTTTGTAGAATCTTCAAGTGGATATTTTCAGCGCTTTGAGGCCTACGGTGGAAAAGAAAATATCTTCACATAAAAACTAGTCAGAAGCATTCTGAGAAACTTCTTTGTGACGTGTGCATTCAACTCATGGAGTTCAACCTTTCTTTTCATTCAGCAGTTTGGAAACAGTCTTTTTACAGTATCTGCAAATGGCTATTTGGAGAGCTTTGAGGCCTATGGTGGAAAAGGAAATCTCTTCCCATAAAAACTAGACAGCAGCATTCTGAGAAACTTATTTGTGATCTGTGCATTCATCTCACAGAGTTGAACCTTTCTTTTGATTCAGCAGTTTTGAAACTGTCGTTTTGTAGAATCTGCAAAGGGATATTTGTGAGCCCATTGAGGCTTCTGGGGAGATAGGAAATATCTTCACATAACAACTAGACAGATACTTTCTGAGAAACTATTTTGTCATGTGTGACTTCAACTCACCGGGTTGAAACTTTCTCTTGATTGAGCAGTTTGGGAACAGTCTTTTTGTAGAATCTGCAAATGAATATTTGGAGCACTTTTGGCCTATGTTGAAAAATGAAGTATCTTTCCATAAAAACTAGGCAGAAGTTTTGGAGAAATTTATTTTGATGTGTGCATTCATCTCACACAGTTGAAATTTTCTTTTGATTGAGCAGTGTGGATACACTCGTTTTGTAGAGTCTGCAAGTGGATATTTGGAGCACTTTCTGGCCTATAGTGAAAAAGGAAATATCTTCACATAAAAACTAGATAGAAGAATTCTGAGAAACTTCCTTTGAATGGGTGCATTCATCTCACACTGTTGAACTTTTTTTTTGATTGAGCACCTTCTAAAGAGTCATTTTGTAGAATCTGCAAAGGAATATTTGTGAGCCCATTGATGCCTCTGGGGAAACAGGAAATATCTTCACATAAAAACGAGACAGAATCTTTCTCAGAAACGTCTTGGTGATGTGTGCATTCATCTCACTGAGTTGAACTTTATTTTGATTGAGCAGTTTGGAAACAGTCTTTTCTAGTATCTGCAAATGTATATTTTAAGCACTCTGAGGCCTACGGTGAAAAAGGAAATATCTTCAATATAAATCAGACAGAAGCATTCATAGAAACTTCTTTGTGATGTGTGCATTCATCTCACCGACTAGAACCTTTCTTTTCATTGAGCAGTTTTGAAACACTCTTTTAGCGGAATCTGCAAGTGTTTATTTGGAGCGCATGAGGAATATGGTGGAAAAGGAATCTTCTTCACTTGAAAACGAGACGGAAACATTCTAAGAAACTTCTCCGTGATGGATGCATTCATTTCACAGAGTTAAACCTTTCCTGTGATTGAGCGGTTTGGAAACAGTAGTTTTTTACAATCTGCAGAAGGATACTTGTGAGCCGATTGAGGTCTATGGGGTGATAAGAAATATGTTCACATAAAAACTAGATAGAAAGTTTCTGAGAAACTGCTTTGTGATATTAGCTTTTATCTCATAGAGTTGAAAATTTCTTTTTATTGAGCAGTTTGGGAACAGTCTTTTTGTAGTATCTGCAAATGGATATTACCAGTGCTTTGAGGCGTATGGTGAAAAAGGAAATATCTTCACATAAAAACAAGGCGGAAGCATTCTGAGAAACTTCTTTTTGATGTCTGCATTCATCTCACAGAGTTGAACCTTTCTTTTGATTGAGCAGTTTTGAAAGGCTCTATTTGTAGGATCTGCAAGTGGATATTTGGAACGCTTTGAGGCCTATAGTGGAAAAGGAAATATCTTCACATAAAAACCTAGAAAGAAGAATTCTGAGAAACTTCCGAGGAAGGTGTATTTTCGTCTCACACTGTTAAACCCGTCTTTTGATTGAGCAGCTTCGATACAGTCATTTAGGAGAATATGAAAGGGAATATTTGAGAGCCCATTGAGGCCTCTGGGGAAATAAGAAATATCTTCACCTAAAAGCTAGACAAAAACTTTCTGAGAAACACCCTTCTGATGTGTGCATTCATCATACACAGTTGAACATTCTTTTGATTGAGCAGTTTGGATACAGTCATTTGTATTATCTGTAAATGGATATTTGGAGTGTATTGAGGCCTATGGTGAAAAAGGAAATATCCTCACATAAAATTCAGATGGAAGCATTCTTAGAAACTCCTTTGTGATGTGTGCATTCATCTCACAGACTTCAAACTTTCTATTGATTGAGCAGTTTTGAAACACTCTTTTTGTAGAATCTGCAAGTCGATATTTGGAGCGCTCTGTGGCCCATAGTGGAAAAGGAAATATCTTCATAAAAAAAATAAACAGAAGCACTTTGAGAAACTTCTCTGTGCTGTATGCAGTCATATCTCAGACATGAAACTTTCTTTGATACAGCAGTTTTAAAACACTCTTTTTGGAGATTCTGAAAGTAGATATTTGAGAGACATGAGGACTATGGTGGAAAAGGAAATATCTTCACACAAAAACTAGACAGAAACATTCTGAGAAGCTTCTTTGTGATGTGTGCATCCATCTCAAAGAGTTGAACCTTTCTTTTGATTGACCATTTTTGAAGCACTCTTTTTGTAGAATCTTCAAGTGGATATTTGGAGTGTTTGTGGCCTGAGGTGGAAAAGGAAATATATTCACATAAAAACTAGATAGAAGCATTCTGAGAAACTTCTTTCTGATGTGCTCATTCAACTCACAGAGTTGAGCTTTTCTTTTGATTGAGCAGTTTGGAAACAGTCTTTTTGTAGAAACTGCAAGTGGATATTTGGAGCGCATTACGGCCTATAGTGGAAAAGGAAATATATTCACATAAAAACTAGACAGAAGCATTCTGAGAAACTTCTTTGTGATGTGCTCATTCAACTCACAGAGTTGAACTTTTCTTTTGTTTGAGCAGTTTGCAAACAGTCTTTCTGTAGAATCTGCAAGTGGATATTAGGAGTGCATTACGGCCTATAGTGGAAAATGAAATATCTTCACATAAAAACCAGACAAAAACATTATGAGAAACTGCTTTGTGATGCGTGCATTCATCACCAGTGTTGAGTTTCTCTTTTGATTGAACAGTTTTGAAACACTCTTTCTGTAGAATCTGAAAGGGATATTTGGAGCGCTTTGCAGCCTATGGTGAAAAAGGAAATATCTTCACATAAAAGCTAGACAGAAGCATTCTAAGAAAGTGCTTTGTGACGTGTGCATTCACCTCACAGTGTTGAACCTTTCTTTTGATTGAGCAGTTTTGAAACACTCTTATTGTAGAATCTGCAAGTGGATATTTGGAGAGTTTGAGGCCACTGGTGGAAAAGCAAATATCTTCACATCAAAACTAGACAGAATCATTATAAGTAATCTCTTTGAGATGCGTGCATTCAACTCACAGAGTTGGACATTTCCTTTGATTGAGCAGTTTGGAAACAGTCTTTTTGCAGTATCTGCAAACGGATATTTGGAGCACTTTCAGGCCTATAGTAGGAAATTAAATATCTTCACATAAAAACTAGACAGAAAATTACTGAGAAACTTCTTAATGATGTGTGCATTCATCTCACAGAGTTGAAACTTTCTTTTGATTGAGCAGTTTGGAAACACTCTTTTAGTAGAAACTGCAAGGGGATATTTGGAGCATTTTGTGGTCTATGGTAGAAAAGGCTATATCTTCACATAAAAATAGAAGCATTTTGAGGAACTTCATGATGTGTGCATTCATCTCAAAGAGTTGAACTTTTCTTTTGATTGAGTAGCTTTGAAAAACTCTTTCTGCAGAATCTGCAAGTTGATATTTGGAGTGCTTTGTGGCCTATAGTAGAAAAGGAAATATCTTTACTTAAAACTAGACAGAAGCATTCTGAGAAACTTCTTTGTGATGTGTGCATTCATCTCACAGAGTTGAATCTTTCTTTTGTTTGAGCAGTTTTGAAACTCTCTTTCTGTAGAATCTTCAAGTGGATATTTTTAGTGCTTTGAGGACTATGGTGGAAAAGAAAATATCTTCACATAAAAACTAGTCAGAAGCATTCTGAGAAACTTCTTTGTGACGTGTGCATTCAACTCATGGAGTTCAACCTTTCTTTTGATTCAGCAGTTTGGAAACAGTCTTTTTACAGTATCTGCAGATGGATATTTGGAGAGCTTTGAGGCCTATGGTGGAAAAGGAAATATCTTCCCATAAAAACTAGACAGCAGCATTCTGAGAAACTTATTTGTGATCTGCGCATTCATCTCACAGAGTTGAACCTTTCTCTTGATTCAGCAGTTTTGAAACTGTCGTTTTGTAGAATCTGCAAAGGAATATTTGTGAGCCCATTGAGGCTTCTGGGGTGATAGGAAATATCTTCACATAAAAACTAGACAGATACTTTCTGAGAAACTATTTTGTCATGTGTGTCTTCTACTCACCGGGTTGAAACTTTCTGTTGATTGAGCAGTTTGGAAACAGTCTTTTTGTAGAATCTGCAAATTGATATTTGGAGTGCTTTTGGCCTACATTGAAAAACGAAATATCTTCCCATAAAAAGTAGGCAGAAGTTTTGGAGAAATTTATTTTGATGTGTGCATTCATCTCACACAGTTGAAATTTTCTTTTGATTGAGCAGTGTGGATACACTCGTTTTGCAGAGTCTGCAAGTGGATATTTGGAGCACTTTGTGGCCTATAGTGAAAAAGGAAATATCTTCACATAAAAACTAGATAGAAGAATTCTGAGAAACTTCCTTTGAATGGGCGCATTCATCTCACACTGTTGAACTTTTTTTTTTGATTGAGCACCTTCTAAACAGTCATTTTGTAGAATATGCAAAGGAATATTTGTGAGCCCATTGATGCCTCTGCGGAAACAGGAAATATCTTCACATAAAAACGAGACAGAATCTTTCTCAGAAACGTCTTGGTGATGTGAGCATTCATCTCACTGAGTTGAACTTTATTTTGATTGAGCAGTTTGGAAACAGTCTTTTCTAGTATCTGCAAATGGATATTTTAAGCACTCTGAGGCCTACGGTGAAAAAGGAAATATCTTCAATATAAATCAGACAGAAGGATTCATAGAAACTTCTTTGTGATGTGTGCATTCATCTCACCGACTAGAACCTTTCTTTTGATTGAGCAGTTTTGAAACACTCTTTTAGCGGAATCTGCAAGTGTTTATTTGGAGCGCATGAGGAATATGGTGGAAAAGGAATCTTCTTCACATAGAAACGAGATGGAAGCATTCTGAGAAACTTCTCTGTGATGGATGCATTCATTTCACAGAGTTAAACCTTTCCTGTGATTGAGCGGTTTGGAAACAGTAGTTTTTTACAATCTGCAGAAGGATACTTGTGAGCCGATTGAGGTCTATGGGGTGATAAGAAATATGTTCACATAAAAAATAGATAGAAAGTTTCCGAGAAACTTCTTTGTGATATTTGCTTTCATCTCATAGAGTTGAAACTTTCTTTTTATTGAGCTGTTTGGGAACAGTCTTTTTGTAGTACCTGCAAATGGATATTACCAGTGCTTTGAGGCCTATGGTGAAAAAGGAAATATCTTCACATAAAAACAAGGCAGAAGCATTCTGAGAAACTTCTTTTTGATGTCTGCATTCATCTCACAGAGTTGAACCTTTCTTTTGATTGTGCAGTTTTGAAACGCTCTATTTGTAGTATCTGCAAGTGGATATTTGGAACGCTTTGAGGCCTATAGTGGAAAAGGAAATATCTTCACATAAAAACCTAGAAAGAAGAATTCTGAGAAACTTCCTAGGAATGTGTGCTTTCATCTCACACTGTTGAACCTTTCTTTTGATTGAGCAGCTCCGATATAGTCGTTTAGTAAAATCTGAAAGAGAATATTTGAGAGCCCATTGCGGCCTCTAGGGAAATAGGAAGTATCTTCACCTAAAAACTAGACACAAACTTTCTGAGAAACTTCCTTGTGATATGTGCATTCGTCACACAGAGTTGAACTTCCTTTTGATTGGGCAGTTTGGAAACAGTCATTTGTATTATCTGTAAATGGATATTTGGAGTGTATTGAGGCCTGTGGTGAAAAACGAAATTTCTTCACATAAAAATCACATGGAAGCATTCTCAGAAACTCCCTTGTGATGTGTGCACTCATCTCACAGACTTCAAACTTTCTATTGATTGAGCAGTTTTGAAACACTCTTTTTGTAGAATCTGCAAGTGGATATTTGGAGCGCTCTGTGGCCCATAGTGGAAAAGGAAATATCTTCATAAAAAAAATAAACAGAAGCACTTTGAGAAACTTCTCTGTGTTGTATGCAGTCATATCTCAGACATGAAACTTTCTTTGGTACAGCAGTTTTAAAACACTCTTTTTGGAGATTCTGAAAGTAGATAATTGGAGAGACTTGAGGACTACGGTGGAAAAGGAAATATCTTCACAAAAATACTAGACAGAAACATTCTGAGAAGCTTCTTTGTGATGTGTGCGTCCATCTCGAAGAGTTGAACCTTTCTTTTGATTGAGTATTTTTGAAGCACTCTTTTTGTAGAATCTTCAAGTGGATATTTGGAGGGTTTGTGGCCTGTGGTGGAAAAGGAAATATATTCACATAAAAACTAGATAGAAGCATTCTGAGAAACTTCTTTGTGATGTGCTCATTCAATTCACAGAGTTGAGCTTTTCTTTTGATTGAGCAGTTTGGAATCAGTCTTTTTGTAGAATCTGCAAGTGGATATTTGGAGCGCATGACGGCCTATAGTGGAAAAGGAAATATATTCACATAAAAACTAGACAGAAGCATTCTGAGAAACTTTTTATGATGTGCTCATTCAACTCACAGAGTTGAACTTTTCTTTTGTTTGAGCAGTTTGCAAACAGTCTTTTTGTAGAATCTGCAAGTGGATATTAGGAGTGCATTACGGCCTATAGTGGAAAATGAAATAACTTCACATAAAAAATAGACAGAAACATTATGAGAAACTGCTCTGTGATGCGTGCATTCATCACCAGAGTTGAATTTCTCTTTTGATTGAACAGTTTTGAAACACTCTCTCTGTAGAATCTGAAAGGGATATTTGGAGCGCTTTGCAGCCTATGGTGAAAAAGGAAATATCTTCAAATAAAAGCTAGACAGAAGCATTCTAAGAAAGTGCATTATGACGTGTGCATTCATCTCACAGTGTTGAACCTTTCTTTTGATTGAGCAGTTTTGAAACACTCTTATTGTAGAATCTGCAAGTGGATATTTGCAGAGTTTGAGGCCACTGGTGGAAAAGCAAATATCTTCACATCAAAACTAGACAGAATCATTATAAGTAATCTCTTTGAGATGCGTGCATTCAACTCACAGAGTTGGACATTTCCTTTGATTGAGCAGTGTGGAAACAGTCTTTTTGCAGTATCTGCAAACGGATATTTGGAGCACTTTCAGGCCTATAGTAGGAAAGGAAATATCTTCACATAAAAACTAGACAGGAAATTACTGAGAAACTTCTTAATGATATGTGCATTCATCTCACAGAGTTGAAACTTCTTTTGATTGAGCAGTTTGGAAACACTCTTTTAGTAGAAACTGCAAGGGGATATTTGGAGCGTTTTGTGGTCTATGGTAGAAAAGGCTATATCTTCACATAAAAATAGAAGCATTCTGAGGAACTTCATGATGTGTGCATTCATCTCAAAGAGTTTAACTTGTCTTTTGACTGAGCAGCTTTGAAAAACTCTTTCTGCAGAATCTGCAAGTTGATATTTGGAGTGCTTTGTGGCCTATAGTAGAAAAGGAAATATCTTTACATAAAACTAGACAGAAGCATTCTGAGAAACTTCTTTGTGATGTGTGCATTCATCTCACAGAGTTGAATCTTTCTTTTGTTTGAGCAGTTTTGAAACTCTTTCTGTAGAATCTTCAAGTGGATATTTTCAGCGCTTTGAGGCCTATGGTGGAAAAGAAATTATCTTCACATAAAAACTAGTCAGAAGCATTCTGAGAAACTTCTTTGTGACGTGTGCATTCAACTCATGGAGTTCAACCTTTCTTTTGATTCAGCAGTTTGGAAACAGTCTTTTTACAGTATCTGCAAATGGCTATTTGGAGAGCTTTGAGGCCTATGGTGTAAAAGGAAATCTCTTCCCATAAAAACTAGACAGCAGCATTCTGAGAAACTTATTTGTGATCTGTGCATTCATCTCACAGAGTTGAACCTTTCTTTTGATTCAGCAGTTTTGAAACTGTCGTTTTGTAGAATCTGCAAAGGAATATTTGTGAGCCCATTGAGGCTTCCTGGGGTGATAGGAAATATCTTCACATAAAAACTAGACAGAAGTTTTGGAGAAATTTATTTTGATGTGTGCATTCATCTCACACAGTTGAAATTTTCTTTTGATTGAGCAGTGTGGATACACTCGTTTTGTAGAGTCTGCAAGTGGATATTTGGAGCACTTTGTGGCCTATAGTGAAAAAGGAAATATCTTCACATAAAAACTAGACAGAAGAATTCTGAGAAACTTCCTTTGAATGTGCGCATTTATCTCACAGTGTTGAACCTTTTTTTGATTGAGCAGCTTCTAAACAGTCATTTTGTAGAATATGCAAAGGAATATTTTTGAGCCCATTGATGCCTCTGGGGAAATAGGAAATATCTTCAAATAAAAACTAGACAGAATCTTTCTCAGAAACGTCTTGGTGATGTGTGCATTCATCTCACTGAGTTGAACTTTATTTTGATTGAGCAGTTTGGAAACAGTCTTTTCTAGTATCTGCAAATGGATATTTTAAGCACTCTGAGGCCTACGGTGAAAAAGGAAATATCTTCAATATAAACCAGACAGAAGCATTCATAGAAACTTCTTTGGGATGTGTACATTCATCTCACCGACTAGAACCTTTCTTTTGATTGAGCAGTTTTGAAACACTCTTTTAGCGGAATCTGCAAGTGTTTATTTGGAGCGCATGAGGAATATGGTGGAAAAGGAATCTTCTTCACATAAAAACGAGACGGAAGCATTCTTAGAAACTTCTCTGTGATGGATGCATTCATTTCACAGAGTTAAACCTTTCCTGTGATTGAGCGGTTTGGAAACAGTAGTTTTTTACAATCTGCAGAAGGATACTTGTGAGCCGATTGAGGTCTATGGGGTGATAAGAAATATGTTCACATAAAAACTAGATAGAAAGTTTCTGAGAAACTTCTTTGTGATATTTGCTTTTATCTCCTAGAGTTGAAACTTTCTTTTTATTGAGAAGTTTGGGAACAGTCTTTTTGTAGTATCTACAAATGGATATTACCAGTGCTTTGAGGCCTATGGTGGAAAAGGAAATATCTTCACATAAAAACAAGGCAGAAGCATTCTGAGAAACTTCTTTTTGATGTCTGCATTCATCTCACAGAGTTGAACCTTTCTTTTGATTGAGCAGTTTTGAAACGCTCTATTTGTAGTATCTGCAATTGGATATTTGGAACGCTTTGAGGCCTATAGTGGAAAAGGAAATATCTTCACATAAAAAACTAGAAAGAAGAATTCTGAGAAACTTCCTAGGAAGGTGTATTTTCGTCTCACACTGTTAAACCCGTCTTTTGATTGAGCAGCTTCGATACAGTCATTTAGTAGAATATGAAAGGGAATATTTGAGAGCCCATTGAGGCCTCTGGGGAAATAAGACATATCTTCACCTAAAAACTAGACAAAATCTTTCTGAGAAACACCCTTGTGATGTGTGCATTCATCATACACAGTTGAACTTTCTTTTGATTGAGCAGTTTGGATACAGTCATTTGTATTATCTGTAAATGGATATTTGGAGTGTACTGAGGCCTATGGTGAAAAAGGAAGTATCCTCACATAAAATTCAGATGGAAGCATTCTTAGAAACTCCTTTGTGATGTGTGCACTCATCTCACAGACTTCAAACTTTCTATTGATTGAGCAGTTTTGAAACACTCTTTTTGTAGAATCTGCCAGTGGATACTTGGAGCGCTCTGTGGCCCATAGTGGAAAAGGAAATATCTTCATAAAAAAAATAAACAGAAGCACTTTGAGAACTTTCTCTGGGTTGTATGCAGTCATATCTCAGACATGAAACTTTCTTTGGTACAGCAGTTTTAAAACACTCTTTTTGGAGATTCTGAAAGTAGATATTTGGAGAGACTTGAGGACTACGGTGGAAAAGGAAATATCTTCACAAAAAAACTAGACAGAAACATTCTGAGAAGCGTCTTTTTGATATGTGCATCCATCTCAAAGAGTTGAACCTTTCTTTTGATTGAGCATTTTTGAAGCACTCTTTTTGTAGAATCTTCAAGTGGATATTTGGAGAGTTTGTGGCCTGTGGTGGAAAAGGAAATATATTCACATAAAAACTAGATAGAAGCATTCTGAGAAACTTCTTTGTGATGTGCTCATTCAACTCACAGAGTTGAGCTTTTCTTTTGATTGAGCAGTTGGGAAACAGTCTTTTTGTAGAATCTGCAAGTGGATATTTGGAGCGCATTACGGCCTATAGTGGAAAAGGAAATATATTCACATAAAAACTAGACAGAAGCATTCTGAGAAACTTCTTTGTGATGTGCTCATTCAACTCACAGAGTTGAACTTTTCTTTTGTTTGAGCAGTTTGCAAACAGTCTTTTTGTAGAATCTGCAAGTGGATATTAGGAGTGCATTATGGCCTATAGTGGAGAATGAAATATCTTCACATAAAAACTAGACAGAAACATTATGAGAAACTGCTTTGTGATGTGTGCATTCATCACCAGAGTTGAGTTTCTCTTTTGATTGAACAGTTTTCAAACACTCTTTCTGTAGAATCTGAAAGGGATATTTGGAGCGCTTTGCAGCCTATGGTGAAAAAGGAAATATCTTCACATAAAAGCTAGACAGAAGCATTCTAAGAAAGTGCTTTGTGACGTGTGCATTCATCTCACAGTGTTGAAGCTTTCTTTTGATTGAGCAGTTTTGAAACACTCTTATTGTAGAATCTGCAAGTGGATATTTGGAGAGTTTGAGGTCACTGGTGGAAAAGCAAATATCTTCACATCAAAACTAGACAGAATCATTATAAGTAATCTCTTTGAGATGCGTGCATTCAACTCACAGAGTTGGACATTTCCTTTGATTGAGCAGTTTGGAAACAGTCTTTATGCAGTATCTGCAAACGGATATTTGGAGCACTTTCAGGCCTATAGTAGGAAAGGAAATATCTTCACATAAAAACTAGACAGCAAATTACTGAGACACTACTTAATGTTGTGTGCATTCATCTCACAGAGTTGAAACTTTCTTTTGATTGAGCCGTTTGGAAACACTCTTTTAGTAGAAACTGCAAGGGGATATTTGGAGCGTTTTGTGGTCTATGGTAGAAAAGGATATATCTTCACATAAAAATAGAAGCATTCTGAGGAACTTCATGATGTGTGCATTCATCTCAAAGAGTTGAACTTTTCTTTTGATTGAGCAGCTTTGAAAAACTCTTTCTGCAGAATCTGCAAGTTGATATTTGGAATGCTTTGTGGCCTATAGTAGAAAAGGAAATATCTTTACATAAAACTAGACAGAAGCATTCTGAGAAACTTCTTTGTGATGTGTGCATTCATCTCACAGAGTTGAATCTTTCTTTTGTTTGAGCAGTTTTGAAACTCTCTTTCTGTAGAATCTTCAAGTGAATATTTTCAGCGCTTTGAGGCCTATGGTGGAAAAGAAAATATCTTCACATAAAAACTAGTCAGAAGCATTCTGAGAAACTTCTTTGTGACGTGTGCATTCAACTCATGGAGTTCAACATTTCTTTTGATTCAGCAGTTTGGAAACAGACTTTTCACAGTATCTGCAAATGGATATTTGGAGAGCTTTGAGGCCTATGGTGGAAAAGGAAATCTCTTCCCATAAAAACTAGACAGCAGCATTGTGAGAAACTTATTTGTGATCTGTGCATTCATCTCACAGTGTTGAACCTTTCTTTTGATTCAGCAGTTTTGAAACTGTCGTTTTGTAGAATCTGCAAAGGAATATTTGTGAGCCCATTGAGGCTTCTGGGGTGATAGGAAATATCTTCACATAAAAACTAGACAGATACTTCCTGAGAAACTATTTTGTCATGTGTGACTTCTACTCACCGGGTTGAAACTTTCTCTTGATTGAGCAGTTTGGAAACAGTCTTTTTGTAGAATCTGCAAATTGATATTTGGAGTGCTTTTGGCCTACGTTGAAAAACGAAATATCTTCCCCTAAAAAGTAGGCAGAAGTTTTGGAGAAATTTATTTTGATGTGTGCGTTCATCTCACACAGTTGAAATTTTCTTTTGATTGAGCAGTGTGGATACACTCGTTTTGTAGAGTCTGCAAGTGGATATTTGGAGCACTTTGTGGCCTATAGTGAAAAAGGAAATATCTTCACATAAAAACTAGATAGAAGAATTCTGAGAAACTTCCTTTGAATGGGCGCATTCATCTCACACTGTTGAACTTTTTTTTTCATTGAGCACCTTCTAAACAGTCATTTTGTAGAATATGCAAAGGAATATTTGTGAGCCCATTGATGCCTCTGGGGAAACAGGAAATATCTTCACATAAAAACGAGACAGAATCTTTCTCAGAAACGTCTTGGTGATGTGTGCATTCATCTCACTGAGTTGAACTTTACTTTGATTGAGCAGTTTGGAAACAGTCTTTTCTAGTATATGCAAATGGATATTTTAAGCACTCTGAGGCCTACGGTGAAAAAGGAAATATCTTCAATATAAATCAGACAGAAGCATTCATAGAAACTTCTTTGTGATGTGTGCATTCATCTCACCGACTAGAACCTTTCTTTTGATTGAGCAGTTTTGAAACACTCTTTTAGCGGAATCTGCAAGTGTTTATTTGGAGCGCATGAGGAATATGGTGGAAAAGGAATCTTCTTCACATAAAAACGAGACGGAAGCATTCTGAGAAACTTCTCTGTGATGGATGCATTCATTTCACAGAGTTAAACCTTTCCTGTGATTGAGCGGTTTGGAAACAGTAGATGTTTATAATCTGCAGAAGGATACTTGTGAGCCGATTGAGGTCTATGGGGTGATAAGAAATATGTTCACATAAAAACTAGATAGAAAGTTTCTGAGAAACTTCTTTGTGATATTTGCTTTTATCTCATAGAGTTGAAACTTTCTTTTTATTGAGCAGTTTGGGAACAGTCTTTTTGTAGTATCTGCAAATGGATATTACCAGTTCTTTGAGGCCTGTGGTGAAAAAGGAAATATCTTCACATAAAAACAAGGCAGAAGCATTCTGAGAAACTTCTTTGTGATGTCTGCATTCATCTCACAGAGTTGAACCTTTCTTTTGATTGAGCAGTTTTGAAACGCTCTATTTGTAGTATCTGCAAGTGGATATTTGGAACGATTTGAGGCCTATTGTCGAAAAGGAAATATCTTCACATAAAAAACTAGAAAGAAGAATTCTGAGAAACTTCCTAGGAAGGTGTATTTTCGTCTCACACTGTTAAACCCGTCTTTTGATTGAGCAACTTCGATACAGTCATTTAGTAGAATATAAAAGGGAATATTTGAGAGCCCATTGAGGCCTCTGGGGAAAAAAGAAATATCTTCACCTAAAAACTAGACAAAATCTTTCTGAGAAACACCCTTGTGATGTGTGCATTCATCATACACAGTTGAACTTTCTTTTGATTGAGCAGTTTGGATACAGTCATTTGTATTATCTGTAAATGGATGTTTGGAGTGTACTGAGGCCTATGGTGAGAAAGGAAATATCCTCACATAAAATTCAGATGGAAGCATTCTTAGAAACTCCTTTGTGATGTGTGCATTCATCTCACAGACTTCAAACTTTCTATAGATTGAGCAGTTTTGAAACACTCTTTTTGTAGAATCTGCCAGTGGATATTTGGAGCGCTCTGTGGCCCATAGTGGAAAAGGAAATATCTTCATAAAAAAAATAAACAGAAGCACTTTGAGAAACTTCTCTGTGTTGTATGCAGTCATATCTCAGACATGAAACTTTCTTTGGTACAGGAGTTTTAAAACACTCTTTTTGGAGATTCTGAAAGTAGATATTTGGAGAGACTTGAGGACTACGGTGGAAAAGGAAATATCTTCACAAAAAAACTAGACAGAAACATTCTGAGAAGCTTCTTTGTGATGTGTGCATCCATCTCAAAGAGTGGAACCTTTCTTTTGATTGAGCATTTTTGAAGCACTCTTTTTGTAGAATCTTCAAGTGGATATTTGGAGTGTTTGTGGCCTGTGGTGGAAAAGGAAATATATTCACATAAAAACTAGATAGAAGCATTCTGAGAAACTTCTTTCTGATGTGCTCATTCAACTCACAGAGTTGAGCTTCTCTTTTGATTGAGCAGTTTGGAAACAGTCTTTTTGTAGAAACTGCAAGTGGATATTTGGAGCGCATTACGGCCTATAGTGGAAAAGGAAATATATTCACATAAAAACTAGACAGAAGCATTCTGAGAAACTTCTTTGTGATGTGCTCATTCAACTCACAGAGTTGAACTTTTCTTTTGTTTGAGCAGTTTGCAAACAGTCTTTCTGTAGAATCTGCAAGTGGATATTAGGAGTGCATTACGGCCTATAGTGGAAAAGGAAATATCTTCACATAAAAACTAGACAGACAAACATGATGAGAAACTGCTTTGTGATGCGTGCATTCATCACCAGAGTTGAGTTTCTCTTTTGATTGAACAGTTTTGAAACACTCTTTCTGTAGAATCTGAAAGGGATATTTGGAGCGCTTTGCAGCCTATGGTGAAAAAGGAAATATCTTCACATAAAAGCTAGACAGAAGCATTCTAAGAAAGTGCATTGTGACGTGTGCATTCATCTCACAGTGTTGAACCTTTCTTTTGATTGAGCAGTTTTGAAACACTCTTATTGTAGAATCTGCAAGTGGATATTTGCAGAGTTTGAGGCCACTGGTGGAAAAGCAAATATCTTCACATCAAAACTAGACAGAACCATTCTGAGAAATCTCTTTGAGATGCGTGCATTCAACTCATAGAGTTGGACCTTTCCTTTGATTGAGCAGTTTGGAAGCAGTCTTTTTGCAGTATCTGCAAATGGATATTTGGAGCACTTTCAGGCCTATAGTAGGAAAGGAAATATCTTCAAATAAAAACTAGACAGAAAATTACTGAGAAACTTCTTAATGATGTGTGCATTCATCTCACAGAGTTGAAACTTTCCTTTGATTGAGCAGTTTGGAAACACTCTTTTAGTAGAAACTGCAAGGGGATATTTGGAGCGTTTTATGGTCTATGGTAGAAAAGGTTATCTTCACATAAAAATAGAAGCATTCTGAGGAACTTCCTGATGTGTGCATTCATCTCAAAGAGTTGAACTTTTCTTTTGATTGAGCAGCTTTGAAAAACTCTTTCTGCAGAATCTGCAAGTTGATATTTGGAGTGCTTTGTGGCCTATAGTAGAAAAGGAAATATCTTTACATAAAACTAGACAGAAGCATTCTGAGAAATTTCTTTCTGATGTGTGCATTCATCTCACGAAGTTGAACCATTCTTTTAATTGAGCAGTTTTGAAACACACTTTTTGCAGTATCTTCAAGTGGATATTTGTAGAGCTTTGAGGCCTATGGTAGAAAAGGAAACATTGTCACATAAAAACTAGACAGAAGCATTCTGAGAAACTTCTTTGTGACGTGTGCATTCAACTCATGGAGTTCAACCTTTCTTTTGATTCAGCAGTTTGGAAACAGTCTTTTTACAGTATCTGCAAATGGCTATTTGTAGAGCTTTGAGGCCTATGGTGGAAAAGGAATTATCTTCCCATAAAAACTAGACAGCAGCATTCTGAGGAACTTATTTGTGATCTGTGCATTCATCTCCCAGAGTTGAACCTTTCTTTTGATTCAGCAGTTTTGAAACTGCCTTTTTGTAGAATCTGCAAAGGAATATTTGTGAGCCCATTGAGGCTTCTGGGGTGATAGGAAATATCTTCACGTAAAAACTAGACAGATACTTTCTGAGAAACTATTTTGTCATGTGTGACTTCAACTCACCGAGTTGAAACTTTCTCTTGATTGAGCAGTTTGGAAACAGTCTTTTTGTAGAATCTGCAAATTGATATTTGGAGCGCATTTGGCCTATGTTGAAAAACGAAATATCTTCCCATAAAAAGTAGGCAGAAGTTTTGGAGAAATTTATTTGTGATGTGTGCATTCATCTCACACAGTTGAAATTTTCTTTTGATTGAGCAGTGTGGATACACTCTTTTTGTAGAGTCTGCAAGTGGATATTTGGAGCACTTTGTGGCCTATAGTGAAAAAGGAAATATCTTCACATAAAAACTAGACAGAAGAATTCTGAGAAACTGCCTTTGAATGGGCGCATTCATCTCACACTGTTGAACTTTTTTTTTGATTGAGCACCTTCTAAACAGTCATTTTGTAGAATATGCAAAGGAATATTTGTGAGCCCATTGATGCCTCTGGGGAAACAGGAAATATCTTCACATAAAAACGAGACAGAATCTTTCTCAGAAACGTCTTGGTGATGTGTGCATTCATCTCACTGAGTTGAACTTTACTTTGATTGAGCAGTTTGGAAACAGTCTTTACTAGTATCTGCAAATGGATATTTTAAGCACTCTGAGGCCTACGGTGAAAAAGGAAATATCTTCAATACAAATCAGACAGAAGCATTCATAGAAACTTCTTTGTGATGTGTGCATTCATCTCACCGACTAGAACCTTTCTTTTGATTGAGCAGTTTTGAAACACTCTTTTAGCGGAATCTGCAAGTGTTTCTTTGGAGCGCATGAGGAATATGGTGGAAAAGGAATCTTCTTCACATGAAAACGGACGGAAGCATTCTCAGAAACTTCTCTGTGATGGATGCATTCATTTCACAGAGTTAAACCTTTCCTGTGATTGAGCGGTTGAGAAAGAGTAGTTTTTTACAATCTGCAGAAGGATACTTGTGAGCCGATTGAGGTCTATGGGGTGATAAGAAATATGTTCACATAAAAACTAGATAGAAAGTTTCTGAGAAACTTCTTTGTGATATTTGCTTTTATCTCCTAGAGTTGAAACTTTCTTTTTATTGAGCAGTTTGGGGACAGTCTTTTTGTAGTATCTGCAAATGGATATTACCAGTGCTTTGAGGCCTATGGTGGAAAAGGAAATATCTTCACATAAAAACAACGCGGAAGCATTCTGAGAAACTTCTTTTTGATGTCTGCATTCATCTCACAGAGTTGAACCTTTCTTTTGATTGAGCAGTTTTGAAACGCTCTATTTGTGGTATCTGCAAGTGGATATTTGGAACGCTTTGAGGCCTATAGTGGAAAAGGAAATATCTTCACATAAAAAACTAGAAAGAAGAATTCTGAGAAACTTCCTAGGAAGGTGTATTTTCGTCTCACACTGTTAAACCCGTCTTTTGATTGAGCAGCTTCGATACAGTCATTTAGTAGAATATGAAAGGGAATATTTGAAAGCCCATTGAGGCCTCTGGGGAAATAAGAAATATCTTCACCTAAAAACAAGACAAAATCTTTCTGAGAAACACCCTTGTGATGTGTGCATTCATCATACAGAGTTGAACTTTCTTTTGATTGAGCAGTTTGGATACAGTCATTTGTATTATCTGTAAATGGATATTTGGAGTGTACTGAGGCCTATGGTGAAAAAGGAAATATCCTCACATAAAATTCAGATGGAAGCATATTGAGAAACTTCTCTGTGATGTGTCCATTCATCTCATAGAGTAAAATCTTCCTTTTGATTGAGCAGGTTTGAAACACTCTTTTTGTAGAATCTGCAAGTGGATATTTGGAGCGCTCTGTGGCCCATAGTGGAAAAGGAAATATCTTCATAAGAAAAATAAACAGAAGCACTTTGAGAAAGTTCTCTGTGTTGTATGCAGTCATATCTCAGACATGAAACTTTCTTTGGTACAGCAGTTTTAAAACACTCTTTTTGGAGATTCTGAAAGTAGATATTTGGAGAGACTTGAGGACTACGGTGGAAAAGGAAATATCTTCACAAAAAAACTAGACAGAAACATTCTGAGAAGCTTCTTTGTGATGTGTGCGTCCATCTCGAAGAGTTGAACCTTTCTTTTGATTGAGCATTTTTGAAGCACTTTTTTTGTAGAATCTTCAAGTGGTTATTTGGAGTGTTTGTGGTCTCTGGTGGAAAAGGAAATATATTCACATAAAAACTAGATAGAAGCATTCTGAGAAACTTTTTTGTGATGTGCTCATTCAACTCACAGAGTTGAGATTTTCTTTTGATTGAGCAGTTTGGAAACAGTCTTTTTGTAGAATCTGCCAGTGGATATTTGGAGCGCATGACGGCCTATAGTGGAAAAGGAAATATATTCACATGAAAACTAGACAGAAGCATTCTGAGAAACTTCTTTGTGATGTGCTCATTCAACTCACAGAGTTGAGCTTTTCTTTTGATTGAGCAGTTTGGAAACAGTCTTTTTGTAGAATCTGCAAGTGGATATTTGGAGCGCATGACGGCCTTTAGTGGAAAAGGAAATATATTCACATAAAAACTAGACAGAAACATGATGAGAAACTGCTTTGTGATGCGTGCATTCATCACCAGAGTTGAGTTTCTCTTTTGATTGAACAGTTTTGAAACACTCTTTCTGTAGAATCTGAAAGGGATATTTGGAGCGCTTTGCAGCCTATGGTGAAAAAGGAAATATCTTCACATAAAAGATAGACAGAAAGCATTCTGAGAAAGTGCTTTGTGAGGTGTACATTCATCTCACAGAAGTTAAACCTTTCTTTTGATTGAGCAGTTTTGAAACACTCTTATTGTACAATCTGCAAGTGGATATTTGGAGAGTTTGAGGCCACTGGTGGAAAAGCAAATATCTTCACATAAAAACTAGACAGAATCATTAGAAGTAATCTCTTTGAGATGCGTGCATTCAACTCACAGAGTTGGACATTTCCTTTGATTGAGCAGTGTGGAAACAGTCTTTTTGCAGTATCTGCAAACGGATATTTGCAGCACTTTCAGGCCTATAGTAGGAAAGGAAATATCTTCACATAAAAACTAGACAGAAAATTACTGAGAAACTCCTTAATGATGTGTGCATTCATCTCACAGAGTTGAAACTTTCTTTCCATTGAGCCGTTTGGAAACACTCTTTTAGTAGAAACTGCAAGGGGATATTTGGAGCGTTTTGTGGTCTATGGTAGAAAAGGATATATCTTCACATAAAAATAGAAGCATTCTGAGGAACTTCATGATGTGTGCATTCATCTCAAAGTGTTGAACTTTTCTTTTGATTGAGCAGCTTTGAAAAACTCTTTCTGCAGAATCTGCAAGTTGATATTTGGAGTGCTTTGTGGCCTAGAGTAGAAAAGGAAATATCTTTACATAAAACTAGACAGAAGCATTCTAAGAAAGTGCTTTGTGAAGTGTGCATTCATCTCACAGAGTTGAATCATTCTTTTGTTTGACCAGTTTTGAAACTCTCTTTCTGTAGAATCTTCAAGTGGATATTTTCAGCGCTTTGAGGCCTATGGTGGAAAAGAAAATATCTTCACATAAAAACTAGTCAGAAGCTTTCTGAGAAACTTCTTTGTGATGTGTGCATTCAACTCATGGAGTTGAACCTTTCCTTTGATTCAGCAGTTTGGAAACAGTCTTTTTGTAGTATCTGCAAATGGATATTTGGAGAGCTTTGAGGCCTATGGTGGAAAAGAAAATATCTTCACATAAAAACTAGACAGATACATCCTGAGAAACTATTTTGTCATGTGTGACTTCTACTCACCGGGTTGAAACTTTCTCTTGATTGAGCAGTTTGGAAACAGTAGTTTTTTACAGTCTGCAGAAGGATACTTGTGAGCCGATTGAGGTCTATGGGGTGATAGGAAATATGTTCACATAAAAACTAGATAGAAGTTTTGTAAAAATTTATTTAGATGTGTGCATTCATCTCACACAGTTGAAATTTTCTTTTGATTGGGCAGTGTGGATACACTCGTTTTGTAGGGTCTACAAGTGGATATTTGGAGCACTTTGTGGCCTATAGTGAAAAAGGAAATATCTTCACATAAAAACTAGATAGAAGAATTCTGAGAAACTTCCTTTGAATGGGCGCATTCATCTCACACTGTTGAACTTTTTTTTTGATTGAGCACCTTCTAAACAGTCATTTTGTAGAATATGCAAAGGAATATTTGTGAGCCCATTGATGCCTCTGCGGAAACAGGAAATATCTTCACATAAAAACGAGACAGAATCTTTCTCAGAAACGTCTTGGTCATGTTTGCATTCATCTCACTGAGTTGAACTTTATTTTGATTGAGCAGTTTGGAAAGTGTCTTTTCTAGTATCTGCAAATGGATATTTTAAGCACTCTGAGGCCTACGGTGAAAAAGGAAATATCTTCAATATAAATCAGACAGAAGCATTCATAGAAACTTCTTTGTGATGTGTGCATTCATCTCACCGACTAGAACCTTTCTTTTGATTGAGCAGTTTTGAAACACTCTTTTAGCGGAATCTGCAAGTGTTTCTTTGGAGCGCATGAGGAATATGGTGGAAAAGGAATCTTCTTCACATGAAAACGAGACGGAAGCATTCTGAGAAACTTCTCTGTGATGGATGCATTCATTTCACAGAGTTAAACCTTTCCTGTGATTGAGCGGTTTGGAAACAGTAGTTTTTTACAGTCTGCAGAAGGATACTTGTGAGCCGATTGAGGTCTATGGGATGATAAGAAATATGTTCACATAAAAACTAGATAGAAAGTTTCTGAGAAACTTCTTTGTGATATTTGCTTTTATCTCCTAGAGTTGAAACTTTCTTTTTATTGAGCAGTTTGGGAACAGTCTTTTTGTAGTATCTGCAAATGGATATTACCAGTGCTTTGAGGCCTATGGTGAAAAAGGAAATATCTTCTCATAAAAACAAGGCAGAAGCATTCTGAGAAACTTCTTTTTGATGTCTGCATTCATCTCACAGAGTTGAACCTTTCTTTTGATTGAGCAGTTTTGAAACGCTCTATTTGTAGTATCTGCAAGTGGATATTTGGAACGCTTTGAGGCCTATAGTGGAAAAGGAAATATCTTCACATAAAAAACTAGAAAGAAGAATTCTGAGAAACTTCCTAGGAAGGTGTATTTTCGTCTCACACTGTTAAACCCGTCTTTTGATTGAGCAGCTTCGATACACTCATTTAGTAGAATATGAAAGGGAATACTTGAGAGCCCATTGAGGCCTCTGGGGAAATAAGAAATATCTTCACCTAAAAACTAGACAAAATCTTTCTGAGAAACACCCTTGTGATGTGTGCATTCATCATGCACAGTTGAACTTTCTTTTGATTGAGCAGTTTGGATACAGTCATTTGTATTATCTGTAAATGGATATTTGGAGTGTACTGAGGCCTATGGTGAAAAAGGAAATATCCTCACATAAAATTCAGATGGAAGCATTCTTAGAAACTCCTTTGTGATGTGTGCATTCATCTCACAGACTTCAAACTTTCTATAGATTGAGCAGTGTTGAAACACTCTTTTTGTAGAATCTGCCAGTGGATATTTGGAGCGCTCTGTGGCCAATAGTGGAAAAGGAAATATCTTCATAAAAAAAATAAACAGAAGCACTTTGAGAAAGTTCTCTGTGTTGTATGCAGTCATAAAATCAGACATGAAACTTTCTTTGGTACAGCAGTTTTGAAACACTCTTTTTGGAGATTCTGAAAGTAGATATTTGGAGAGACTTGAGGACTACGGTGGAAAAGGAAATATCTTCACAAAAAAACTAGACAGAAACATTCTGAGAAGCTTCTTTGTGATGTGTGCGTCCATCTCGAAGAGTTGAACCTTTCTTTTGATTGAGCATTTTTGAAGCACTCTTTTTGTAGAATCTTCAAGTGGATATTTGGAGGGTTTGTGGCCTGTGGTGGAAAAGGAAATATATTCACATAAAAACTAGATAGAAGCATTCTGAGAAACTTCTTTGTGATGTGCTCATTCAACTCACAGAGTTGAGCTTTTCTTTTGATTGAGCAGTTTGGAAACACTCTTTTTGTAGAATCTGCAGGTGGATATTTGGAGCGCATTATGGCCTATAGTGGAAAAGGAAATATATTCACATAAAAACTAGACAGAAGCATTCTGAGAAACTTCTTTGTGATGTGCTCATTCAACTCACAGAGTTGAACTTTTCTTTTGTTTGAGCAGTTTGCAAACAGTCTTTCTGTAGAATCTGCAAGTGGATATTAGGAGTGCCTTACGGCCTATAGTGGAAAATGAAATATCTTCACATAAAAACTAGACAGAAACATTATGAGAAACTGCTTTGTGATGCGTGCATTCATCACCAGAGTTGAGTTTCTCTTTTGATTGAACAGTTTTGAAACACTCTTTCTGTAGAATCTGAAAGGGATATTTGCAGCGCTTTGCAGCCTATGGTGAAAAAGGAAATATCTTCACATAAAAGCTAGACAGAAGCATTCTAAGAAAGTGCTTTGTGACGTGTGCATTCATCTCACAGTGTTGAACCTTTCTTTTGATTAAGCAGTTTTGAAACACTCTTATTGTAGAATCTGCAAGTGGATATTTGGAGAGTTTGAGGCCACTGGTGGAAAAGCAAATATCTTCACATCAAAACTAGACAGAATCATTATAAGTAATCTCTTTGAGATGCGTGCATTCAACTCACAGAGTTGGACATTTCCTTTGATTGAGCAGTTTGGAAACAGTCTTTTTGCAGTATCTGCAAACGGATATTTGGAGCACTTTCAGGCCTATAGTAGGAAAGGAAATATCTTCACATAAAAACTAGACACAAAATTACTGAGAAACTTCTTAATGATGTGTGCATTCATCTCACAGAGTTGAAACTTTCTTTTGATTGAGCCGTTTGGAAACACTCTTTTAGTAGAAACTGCAAGGGGATATTTGGAGAGTTTTGTGGTCTATGGTAGAAAACGATATATCTTCACATAAAAATAGAAGCATTCTGAGGAACTTCATGATGTGTGCATTCATCTCAAAGAGTTGAACTTTTCTTTTGATTGAGCAGCTTTGAAAAACTCTTTCTGCAGAATCTGCAAGTTGATATTTGGAGTGCTTTGTGGCCTATAGTAGAAAAGGAAATATCTTTACTTAAAACTAGACAGAAGCATTCTGAGAAACTTCTTTGTGATGTGTGCATTCATCTCACAGAGTTGAATCTTTCTTTTGTTTGAGCAGTTTTGAAACTCTCTTTTTGTAGAATCTTCAAGTGGATATTTTCAATGCTTTGAGGCTTATGGTGGAAAAGAAAATATCTTCACATAAAAACTAGCCAGAAGCATTCTGGGAAATTTTTGTGACGTGTGCATTCAACTCATGGAGTTCAACCTTTCTTTTGATTCAGCAGTTTGGAAACAGTCTTTTTACAGTATCTGCAAATGGCTATTTGGAGAGCTTTGAGGCCTATGGTGGAAAAGGAAATATCTTCCCATAAAAAGTAGACAGCAGCATTCTGAGAAACTCATTTGTGATCTGTGCATTCATCTCCCAGAGTTGAACCTTTCTTTTGATTCAGCAGTTTTGAAACTGTCGTTTTGTAGAATCTGCAAAGGAATATTTGTGAGCCCATTGAGGCTTCTGGGGTGATAGGAAATATCTTCACGTAAAAACTAGACAGATACTTTCTGAGAAACTATTTTGTCATGTGTGACTTCTACTCACCGGGTAGAAACTTTCTCTTGATTGAGCAGTTTGGAAACAGTCTTTTTGTAGAATCTGCAAATTGATATTTGGAGCGCTTTTGGCCTACGTTGAAAAACGAAATATCTTCCCATAAAAAGTAGGCAGAAGTTTTGGAGAAATTTATTTTGATGTGTGCATTCATCTCACACAGTTGAAATTTTCTTTTGATTGGGCAGTGTGGATACACTCGTTTTGTAGAGTCTGCAAGTGGATATTTGGAGCACTTTGTGGCCTATAGTGAAAAAGGAAATATCTTCACATAAAAACTAGATAGAAGAATTCTGAGAAACTTCCTTTGAATGTGTGCATTCATCTCACAGTGTTGAACTTTTTTCTTGATTGAGCAGCTTCTAAACAGTCATTTTGTAGAATATGCAAAGGAATATTTGTGAGCCCATTGATGCCTCCTGGGGAAATAGGAAATATCTTCAAATAAAAACTAGACAGAATCTTTCTCAGAAACGTCTTGGTGATGTGTGCATTTATCTCACTGAGTTGAACTTTACTTTGATTGAGCAGTTTGGAAACAGTGTTTTCTAGTATCTGCAAATGGATATTTTAAGCACTCTGAGGCCTACGGTGAAAAAGGAAATATCTTCAATATAAATCAGACAGAAGCATTCATAGAAACTTCTTTGTGATGTGTGCATTCATCTCACTGACTAGAACCTTTCTTTTGATTGAGCAGTTTTGAAACACTCTTTTAGCGGAATCTGCAAGTGTTTCTTTGGAGCGCATGAGGAATATGGTGGAAAAGGAATCTTCTTCACATGAAAACGGACGGAAGCATTCTGAGAAACTTCTCTGTGATGGATGCATTCATTTCACAGAGTTAAACCTTTCCTGTGATTGAGCGGTTTGGAAACAGTAGTTTTTTACAGTCTGCAGAAGGATACTTGTGAGCCGATTGAGGTCTATGGGGTGATAAGAAATATGTTCACATAAAAACTAGATAGAAAGTTTCTGAGAAACTTCTTTGTGATATTTGCTTTTATCTCATAGAGTTGAAACTTTCTTTTTATTGAGCAGTTTGGGAACAGTCTTTTTGTAGTATCTGCAAATGGATATTGCCAGTGCTTTGAGGCCTATGGTGAAAAAGGAAATATCTTCACATAAAAACAAGGCAGAAGCATTCTGAGAAACTTCTTTTTGATGTCTGCATTCATCTCGCAGAGTTGAACCTTTCTTTTGATTGAGCAGTTTTGAAACGCTCTATTTGTAGTATCTGCAAGTGGATATTTGGAACGCTTTGAGGCCTATAGTGGAAAAGGAAATATCTTCACATAAAAAACTAGAAAGAAGAATTCTGAGAAACATCCTAGGAAGGTGTATTTTCGTCTCACACTGTTAAACCCGTCTTTTGATTGAGCAGCTTCGATACAGTCATTTAGTAGAATATGAAAGGGAATATTTGAGAGCCCATTGAGGCCTCTGGGGAAATAAGAAATATCTTCACCTAAAAACTAGACAAAATCTTTCTGAGAAACACCCTTGTGATGTGTGCATTCATCATACACAGTTGAACTTTCTTTTGATTGAGCAGTTTGGATACAGTCATTTGTATTATCTGTAAATGGATATTTGGAGTGTACTGAGGCCTATGGTGAAAAAGGAAATATCCTCACATAAAATTCAGATGGAAGCATTCTCAGAAACTCCCTTGTGATGTGTGCATTCATCTCACAGACTTCAAACTTTCTATTGATTGAGCAGTTTTGAAACACTCTTTTTGTAGAATCTGCAAGTGGATATTTGGAGCGCTCTGTGGCCCATAGTGGAAAAGGAAATATCTTCATAAAAAAAATAAAAAGAAGCACTTTGAGAAAGTTCTCTGTGTTGTATGCAGTCATATCTCAGACATGAAGCTTTCTTTGGTACAGCAGTTTTAAAACACTCTTTTTGGAGATTCTGAAAGTAGATATTTGGAGAGACTTGAGGACTACGTTGGAAAAGGAAATATCTTCACAAAAAAACTAGACAGAAACATTCTGAGAAGCTTCTTTGTGATGTGTGCATCCATCTCAAAGAGTTGAACCTTTCTTTTGATTGAGCATTTTTGAAGCACTCTTTTTGTAGAATCTTCAAGTGGATATTTGGAGTGTTTGTGGCCTGTGGTGGAAAAGGAAATATATTCACATAAAAACTAGATAGAAGCATTCTGAGAAACTTCTTTGTGATGTGCTCATTCAACTCACAGAGTTGAGCTTTTCTTTTGATTGAGCAGTTTGGAAACAGTCTTTTTGTAGAATCTGCACGTGGATATTTGGAGCGCATGACGGCCTATAGTGGAAAAGGAAATATATTCACATAAAAACTAGACAGAAGCATTCTGAGAAACTTCTTTGTGATGTGCTCATTCAACTCACAGAGTTGAACTTTTCTTTTGTTTGAGCAGTTTGCAAACAGTCTTTTTGTAGAATCTGCAAGTGGATATTAGGAGTGCATTACGGCCTATAGTGGAGAATGAAATATCTTCACATTAAAACTAGACAGAAACATTATGAGAAACTGCTTTGTGATGTGTGCATTCATCACCAGAGTTGAGTTTCTCTTTTGATTGAACAGTTTTCAAACACTCTTTCTGTAGAATCTGAAAGGGATATTTGGAGCGCTTTGCAGCCTATGGTGAAAAAGGAAATATTTTCACATAAAAGCTAGACAGAAGCATTCTAAGAAAGTGCTTTGTGATGTGTGCATTCATCTCACAGTGTTGAACCTTTCTTTTGAATGAGCAGTTTTGAAACACTCTTATTGTAGAATCTGCAAGTGGATATTTGGAGAGTTTGAGGCCACTGGTGGAAAAGCAAATATCTTCACATCAAAACTAGACAGAATCATTATAAGTAATCTCTTTGAGATGCGTGCATTCAACTCACAGAGTTGGACGTTTCCTTTGATTGAGCAGTTTGGAAACAGTCTTTTTGCAGTATCTGCAAGCGGATATTTGGAGCACTTTCAGGCCTATAGTAGGAAAGGAAATATCTTCACATAAAAACTAGACAGAAGCATTCTGAGAAACTTCTTTGTGATGTGTGCATTCATCTCACAAAGTTGAAACTTTCTTTTGATTGAGCCGTTTGGAAACACTATTTTAGTAGAAACTGCAAGGGGATATTTGGAGCGTTTTGTGGTCTATGGTAGAAAAGGATATATCTTCACATAAAAATAGAAGCATTCTGAGGAACTTCCTGATGTGTGCATTCATCTCAAAGAGTTGAACTTTTCTTTTGATTGAGCAGCTTTGAAAAACCCTTTCTGCAGAATCTGCAAGTTGATATTTGGAGCGCTTTGTGGCCTATAGTAGAAAAGGAAATATCTTTACTTAAAACTAGACAGAAGCATTCTGAGAAACTTCTTTGTGATGTGTGCACTCATGTCACAGAGTTGAAACTTTCTTTTGTTTGAGCAGTTTTGAAACTCTCTTTTTGTAGAATCTTCAAGTGTATATTTTTAGCACTTTGAGGCCTATGGTGGAAAAGAAAATGTCTTCACATAAAAACTAGTCAGAAGCATTCTGAGAAACTTCTTTGTGACGTGTGCATTCAACTCATGGAGTTCAACCTTTCTTTTGATTCAGCAGTTTGGAAACAGTCTTTTTACAGTATCTGCAAATGGCTATTTGGAGAGCTTTGACACCTATGGTGGAAAAGGAAATCTCTTCTCATAAAAACTAGACAGCTACTTTCTGAGAAACTATTTTGTCGTGTGTGACTTCTACTCACCGGGTTGAAACTTTCTCTTGATTGAGCAGTTTGGAAACAGTCTTTTTGTAGAATCTGCAAATTGATATTTGGAGTGCTTTTGGCCTACGTTGAAAAACGAAATATCTTCCCATAAAAAGTAGGCAGAAGTTTTGGAGAAATTTATTTTGATGTGTGCATTCATCTCGCACAGTTGAAATTTTCTTTTGATTGAGCAGTGTGGATACATTCGTTTTGTAGAGTCTGCAAGTGGATATTTGGAGCACTTTGTGGCCTACAGTGAAAAAGGAAATATCTTCACATAAAAACTAGATAGAAGAATTCTGAGAAACTTCCGTTGAATGGGCGCATTCATCTCACACTGTTGAACTTTTTTTTTGATTCAGCACCTTCTAAACAGTCATTTTGTAGAATATGCAAAGGAATATTTGTGAGCCCATTGATGCCTCTGGGGAAACAGGAAATATCTTCACATAAAAACGAGACAGAATCTTTATCAGAAACGTCTTGGTGATGTGTGCATTCATCTCACTGAGTTGAACTTTAATTTGATTGAGCAGTTTGGAAACAGTCTTTTCTAGTATCTGCAAATGGATATTTTAAGCACTCTAAGGCCTACGGTGAAAAAGGAAATATCTTCAATATAAATCAGACAGAAGCATTCATAGAAACTTCTTTGTGATGTGTGCATACATCTCACCGACTAGAACCTTTCTTTTCATTGAGCAGTTTTGAAACACTCTTTTAGCGGAATCTGCAAGTGTTTATTTGGAGCGCATGAGGAATATGGTGGAAAAGGAATCTTCTTCACATAAAAACGAGACGGAAGCATTCTGAGAAACTTCTCTGTGATGGATGCATTCATTTCACAGAGTTAAACCTTTCCTGTGATTGAGCGGTTTGGAAACAGTAGTTTTTTACAATCTGCAGAAGGATACTTGTGAGCTGATTGAGGTCTATGGGGTGATAAGAAATATGTTCACATAAAAACTAGATAGAAAATTTCTGAGACACTTCTTTGTGATATTTGCTTTCATCTCACAGAGTTAAAACTTTCTTTTGATTGAGCAGTTTGGGAAAAGTCTTTTTGTAGTATCTGGAAATGGATATTACCAGTGCTTTGAGACCTATGGTGAAAAAGGAAATATCTTCCCATAAATACAAGGCAGAAACTTTCTGAGAAACTTCTTTCTGATGTGTGCTTTCATCTCACAGATTTGAACTTTTCTTTTGATTGAGCAGTTTTGAAACAGTCTTTTTGTACAATCTGCAAGTGGATATTTGGGGCACTTTCAGGCCTATGGGGGAAAAGGACACATCTTCCAATAAAAACTAGACAGCAGAGTTCTGAGAAACTTCCTAGGAATGTGTGCTTTCTTCTCACACTGTTGAACCTTTCTTTTGATTGAGCAGCTTCGATACAGTCATTTAGTAGAATCTGAAAGAGAATATTTGCGAGCCCATTGAGGCCTCTTGGAAAGTAGGAAATATCTTCACCTAAAAACTAGACAAAAACTTTCTGAGAAACACCCTTGTGTTGTGTGCATTCATCATACACAGTTGAACTTTCTTTTGATTGAGCAGTTTGGATACAGTCATTTGTATTATCTGTAAATGGGTATTTGGAGTGTACTGAGGCCTATGGTGAAAAAGGAAATATCCTCACATAAAATTCAGATGGAAGCATATTGAGAAACTTCTCTGTGATGTGTCCATTCATCTCATAGAGTAAAATCTTCCTTTTGATTGAGCAGGTTTGAAACACTCTTTTTGTAGAATCTGCAAGTGGATATTTGGAGCGCTCTGTGGCCCATAGTGGAAAAGGAAATATCTTCATAAAAAAAATAAACAGAAGCACTTTGAGAAACTTCTCTGTGTTGTATGCAGTCATATCTCAGACATGAAAATTTCTTTGGTACAGCAGTTTTAAAACACTCTTTTTGGAGATTCTGAAAGTAGATATTTGGAGAGACTTGAGGACTACGGTGGAAAAGGAAACATCTTCACAAAAAAACTAGACAGAAACATTCTGAGAAGCTTCTTTGTGATGTGTGCGTCCATCTCGAAGAGTTGAACCTTTCTTTTGATTGAGCATTTTTGAAGCACTTTTTTTGTAGAATCTTCAAGTGGTTATTTGGAGTGTTTGTGGCCTCTGGTGGAAAAGGAAATATATTCACATAAAAACTAGATAGAAGCATTCTGAGAAACTTCTTTGTGATGTGCTCATTCAACTCACAGAGTTGAGCTTTTCTTTTGATTGAGCAGTTTGGAAACAGTCTTTTTGTAGAATCTGCAAGTGGATATTTGGAGCGCATGACGGCCTATAGTGGAAAAGGAAATATATTCACATAAAAACTAGACAGAAGCATTCTGAGAAACTTCTTTGTGATGTGCTCATTCAACTCACAGAGTTGAACTTTTCTTTTGTTTGAGCAGTTTGCAAACAGTCTTTTTGTAGAATCTGCAAGTGGATATTAGGAGTGCATTACGGCCTATAGTGGAAAATGAAATAACTTCACATAAAAAATAGACAGAAACATGATGAGAAACTGCTTTGTGATGCGTGCATTCATCACCAGAGTTGAGTTTCTCTTTTGATTGAACAGTTTTGAAACACTCTTTCTGTAGAATCTGAAAGGGATATTTGGAGCGCTTTGCAGCCTATGGTGAAAAAGGAAATATCTTCACATAAAAGCTAGACAGAAGCATTCTAAGAAAGTGCTTTGTGACGTGTGCATTCATCTCACAGTGTTGAACCTTTCTTTTGATTGAGCAGTTTTGAAACACTCTTATTGTAGAATCTGCAAGTGGATATTTGGAGAGTTTGAGGCCACTGGTGGAAAAGCAAATATCTTCACATCAAAACCAGACAGAATCATTATAAGTAATCTCTTTGAGATGCGTGCATTCAACTCACAGAGTTGGACATTTCCTTTGATTGAGCAGTTTGGAAACAGTCTTTTTGCAGTATCTGCAAGCGGATATTTGGAGCACTTTCAGGCCTATAGTAGGAAAGGAAATATCTTCACATAAAAACTAGACAGAAAATTACTGAGAAATTTCTCAGTGATGTGTGCATTCATCTCACAGAGTTGAAACTTTCTTTTGATTGAGCAGTTTGGAAACACTCTTTTAGTAGAAACTGCAAGGGGATATTTGGAGCACTTTGTGGTCTTTGGTAGAAAAGGATATATCTTCACATTAAAAATAGACAGAAGCATTCTGAGGAACTTCCTGATGTGTGCATTCATCTCAAAGAGTTGAAATTTTCTTTTGATTGAGCAGCTTTGAAAAACCCTTTCTGCAGAATCTGCAAGTTGATATTTGGAGCGCTTTGTGGCCTATAGTAGAAAAGGAAATATCTTTACTTAAAACTAGACAGAAGTATTCTGAGAAACTTCTTTGTGATGTGTGCATTCATCTCACAGAGTTGAATCTTTCTTTTGTTTGAGCAGTTTTGAAACTCTCTTTCTGTAGAATCTTCAAGTGGATATTTTCAGCGCTTTGAGGCCTATCTTGGAAAAGAAAATATCTTCCCATAAAAACTAGTCAGAACCATTCTGAGAAACTTCTTTATGACGTGTGCATTCAACTCATGGAGTTCAACCTTTCTTTTGATTCAGCAGTTTGGAAACAGTCTTTTTACAGTATCTGCAAATGGCTATTTGGAGAGCTTTGAGGCCTATGGTGGAAAAGGAAATCTCTTCCCATTAAAACTAGGCAGCAGCATTCTGAGAAACTTATTTGTGATCTGTGCATTCATCTCCCAGAGTTGAACCTTTCTTTTGATTCAGCAGTTTTGAAACTGCCTTTTTGTAGAATCTGCAAAGGAATATTTGTGAGCCCATTGAGGCTTCTGGGGTGATAGGAAATATCTTCACGTAAAAACTAGACAGATAATTTCTGAGAAACTATTTTGTCATGTGTGACTTCTACTCACCGGGTTGAAACTTTCTCTTGATTGAGCAGTTTGGAAACAGTCTTTTTGTAGAATCTGCAAATTGATATTTGGAGTGCTTTTGGCCTACGTTGAAAAACGAAATATCTTCCCATAAAAAGTAGGCAGAAGTTTTGGAGAAATTTATTTTGATGTGTGCATTCATCTCACACAGTTGAAATTTTCTTTTGATTGAGCAGTGTGGATACACTCGTTTTGTAGAGTCTGCAAGTGGATATTTGGAGCACTTTGTGGCCTATAGTGAAAAAGGAAATATCTTCACATAAAAACTAGATAGAAGAATTCTGAGAAACTTCCTTTGAATGTGTGCATTCATCTCACAGTGTTGAACTTTTTTCTTGATTGAGCAGCTTCTAAACAGTCATTTTGTAGAATATGCAAAGGAATATTTGTGAGCCCATTGATGCCTCTGGGGAAATAGGAAATATCTTCAAATAAAAACTAGACAGAATCTTTCTCAGAAACGTCTTTGTGATGTGTGCATTCATCTCACTGAGTTGAACTTTACTTTGATTGAGCAGTTTGGAAACAGTCTTTTCTAGTATCTGCAAATGGATATTTTAAGCACTCTGAGGCCTACGGTGAAAAAGGAAATATCTTCAATATAAATCAGACAGAAGCATTCATAGAAACTTCTTTGTGATGTGTGCATTCATCTCACCGACTAGAACCTTTCTTTTGGTTGAGCAGTTTTGAAACACTCTTTTAGCGGAATCTGCAAGTGTTTATTTGGAGCGCATGAGGAATATGGTGGAAAAGGAATCTTCTTCACATGAAAACGAGACGGAAGCATTCTGAGAAACTTCTCTGTGATGGATGCATTCATTTCACAGAGTTAAAACTTTCCTGTGATTGAGCGGTTTGGAAACAGTAGTTTTTTACAATCTGCAGAAGGATACTTGTGAGCCGATTGAGGTCTATGGGGTGATAAGAAATATGTTCACATAAAAACTAGATAGAAAGTTTCTGAGAAACTTCTTTGTGATATTTGCTTTTATCTCCTAGAGTTGAAACTTTCTTTTTATTGAGCAGTTTGGGAACAGTCTTTTTGTAGTATCTGCAAATGGATATTACCAGTGCTTTGAGGCCTATGGTGAAAAAGGAAATATCTTCACATAAAAACAAGGCGGAAGCATTCTGAGAAACTTATATTTGATGTCTGCATTCATCTCTCAGAGTTGAACCTTTCTTTTGATTGAGCAGTTTTGAGAAGCTCTATTTGTAGTATCTGCAAGTGGATATTTGGAACGCTTTGAGGCCTATAGTGGAAAAGGAAATATCTTCACATAAAAAACTAGAAAGAAGAATTCTGAGAAACTTCCTAGGAAGGTGTATTTTCGTCTCACACTGTTAAACCTGTCTTTTGATTGAGCAGCTTTGATACAGTCATTTAGTAGAATATGAAAGGGAATATTTGAGAGCCCATTGAGGCCTCTGGGGAAATAAGAAATATCTTCACCTAAAAACTAGACAAAAACTTTCTGAGAAATACCCTTGTGTTGTGTGCATTCATCATACACAGTTGAACTTTCTTTTGATTGAGCAGTTTGGATACAGTCATTTGTATTATCTGTAAATGGGTATTTGGAGTGTACTGAGGCCTATGGTGAAAAAGGAAATATCCTCACATAAAATTCAGATGGAAGCATTCTTAGAAACTCCTTTGTGATGTGTGCATTCATCTCACAGACTTCAAACTTTCTATTGATTGAGCAGTTTTGAAACACTCTTTTTGTAGAATCTGCCAGTGGATATTTGGAGCGCTCTGTGGCCAATAGTGGAAAAGGAAATATCTTCATAAAAAAAATAAACAGAAGCACTTTGAGAAACTTCTCTGTGTTGTATGCAGTCATATCTCAGACATGAAAATGTCTTTGGTACAGCAGTTTTAAAACACTCTTTTTGGAGATTCTGAAAGTAGATATTTGGAGAGACTTGAGGACTACGGTGGAAAAGGAAATATCTTCACAAAAAAACTAGACAGGAACATTCTGAGAAGCTTCTTTGTGATGTGTGCATCCATCTCAAAGAGTTGAACCTTTCTTTTCATTGAGCATTTTTGAAGCACTCTTTTTGTAGAAACTTCAAGTGGATATTTGGAGTGTTTGTGGCCTGTGGTGGAAAAGGAAATATATTCACATAAAAACTAGATAGAAGCATTCTGAGAAACTTCTTTGTGATGTCCTCATTCAACTCACAGAGTTGAGCTTTTCTTTTGATTGAGCAGTTTGGAAACAGTCTTTTTGTAGAATCTGCAAGTGGATATTTGGAGCGCATGACGGCCTATAGTGGAAAAGGAAATATATTCACATAAAAACTAGACAGAAGCATTCTGAGAAACTTCTTCGTGATGTGCTCATTCAACTCACAGAGTTGAACTTTTCTTCTGTTTGAGCAGTTTGGAAACAGTCTTTTTGTAGAATCTGCAAGTGGATATTAGGAGTGCATTACGGCCTATAGTGGAAAATGAAATATCTTCACATAAAAACTAGACAGAAACATTATGAGAAACTGCTTTGTGATGCGTGCATTCATCACCAGAGTTGAATTTCTCTTTTGATTGAACAGTTTTGAAACACTCTTTCTGTAGAATCTGAAAGGGATATTTGGAGCGCTTTGCAGCCTATGGTGAAAAAGAAATATCTTCACATATAAGCTAGACAGAAGCATTCTGAGAAGGTGGTTTGTGATGTGTGCATTCATCTCACAGAGTTAAACCTTTCTTTGGATTGAGCAGTTTTGAAACACTCTTATTGTACAATCTGCAAGTGGATATTTGGAGAGTTTGAGGCCACTGGTGGAAAAGCAAATATCTTCACATAAAAACTAGAGAGAATCATTATAAGTAATCTCTTTGAGATGCGTGCATTCAACTCACAGAGTTGGACATTTCCTTTGATTGAGCAGTTTGGAAACAGTCTTTTTGCAGTATCTGCAAACGGATATTTGGAGCACTTTCAGGCCTATAGTAGGAAAGGAAATATCTTCACATAAAAACTAGACAGAAAATTACTGAGAAACTTCTTAATGATGTGTGCATTCATCTCACAGAGTTGAAACTTTCTTTTGATTGAGCCGTTTGGAAACACTCTTTTAGTAGAAACTGCAAGGGGATATTTGGAGCGTTTTGTGGTCTATGGTAGAAAAGGATATATCTTCACATAAAAATAGAAGCATTCTGAGGAACTTCCTGATGTGTACATTCATCTCAAAGAGTTGAACTTTTCTTTTGATTGAGCAGCTTTGAAAAACTCTTTCTGCAGAATCTGCAAGTTGATATTTGGGGTGCTTTGTGGCCTATAGTAGAAAAGGAAATATCTTTACATAAAACTAGACAGAAGCATTCTGAGAAACTTCTTTGTGATGTGTGCATTCATCTCACAGAGTTCAATCTTTCTTTTGTTTGAGCAGTTTTGAAACTCTCTTTTGGTAGAATCTTCAAGTGGATATTTTCAGCGCTTTGAGGCCTACGGTGGAAAAGAAAATATCTTCACATAAAAACTAGTCAGAAGCATTCTGAGAAACTTCTTTGTGACGTGTGCATTCAACTCATGGAGTTCAACCTTTCTTTTGATTCAGCAGTTTGGAAACAGTCTTTTTACAGTATCTGCAAATGGCTATTTGGAGAGCTTTGACGCCTATGGTGGAAAAGGAAATCTCTTCTCATAAAAACTAGACAGCTACTTTCTGAGAAACTATTTTGTCATGTGTGACTTCTACTCACCGGGTTGAAACTTTCTGTTGATTGAGCAGTTTGGAAACAGTCTTTTTGTAGAATCTGCAAATTGATATTTGGAGTGCTTTTGGCCTACGTTGAAAAACGAAATATCTTCCCATAAAAAGTAGGCAGAAGTTTTGGAGAAATTTATTTTGATGTGTGCACTCATCTCACACAGTTGAAATTTTCTTTTGATTGAGCAGTGTGGATACACTCGTTTTGTAGAGTCTGCAAGTGGATATTTGGAGCACTTTGTGGCCTATAGAGAAAAAGGAAATATCTTCACATAAAAACTAGATAGAAGAATTCTGAGAAACTTCCTTTGAGTGGGCGCATTCATCTCACACTGTTGAACTTTTTTTTTGATTGAGCACCTTCTAAACAGTCATTTTGTAGAATATGCAAAGGAATATTTGTGAGCCCATTGATGCTTCTGGGGAAACAGGAAATATCTTCACATAAAAACGAGACAGAATCTTTCTCAGAAACGTCTTGGTGATGTGTGCATTCATCTCACTGAGTTGAACTTTATTTTGATTGAGCAGTTTGGAAACAGTCTTTTCTAGTATCTGCAAATGGATATTTTAAGCACTCTGAGGCCTACGGTGAAAAAGGAAATATCTTCAATATAAATCAGACAGAAGCATTCATAGAAACTTCTTTGTGATGTGTGCATTCATCTCACCGACTAGAACCTTTCTTTTGATTGAGCAGTTTTGAAACACTCTTTTAGCGGAATCTGCAAGTGTTTATTTGGAGCGCATGAGGAATATGGTGGAAAAGGAATCTTCTTCACATGAAAACGAGACGGAAGCATTCTGAGAAACTTCTCTGTGATGGATGCATTCATTTCACAGAGTTAAACCTTTCCTGTGATTGAGCGGTTTGGAAACAGTATTTTTTTACAATCTGCAGAAGGATACTTGTGAGCCGATTGAGGTCTATGGGGTGATAAGAAATATGTTCACATAAAAACTAGATAGAAAGTTTCTGAGAAACTTCTTTGTGATATTTGCTTTTATCTCCTAGAGTTGAAACTTTCTTTTTATTGAGCAGTTTGGGAACAGTCTTTTTGTAGTATCTGCAAATGGATATTACCAGTGCTTTGAGGCCTATGGTGAAAAAGGAAATATCTTCACATAAAAACAAGGCAGAAGCATTCTGAGAAGCTTCTTTTTCATGTCTGCATTCATCTCGCAGTGTTGAAACTTTCTTTTGATTGAGCAGTTTTGAAACGCTCTATTTGTAGTATCTGCAAGTGGATATTTGGAACGCTTTGAGGCCTATAGTGGAAAAGGAAATATCTTCACATAAAAAACTAGAAAGAAGAATTCTGAGAAACTTCCTAGGAAGGTGTATTTTCGTCTCACACTGTTAAACCCGTCTTTTGATTGAGCAGCTTCGATACAGCCATTTAGTAGAATATGAAAGGGTATATTTGAGAGCCCATTGAGGCCTCTGGGGAAATAAGAAATATCTTCACCTAAAAACTAGACAAAAACTTTCTGAGAAACACCCTTGTGATGTGTGCATTCATCATACAAAGTTGAACTTTCTTTTGATTGAGCAGTTTGGATACAGTCATTTGTATTATCTGTAAATGGATATTTGGAGTGTACTGAGGCCTATGGTGAAAAAGGAAATATCCTCACATAAAATTCAGATGGAAGCATTCTTAGAAACTCCTATGTGATGTGTGCATTCATCTCACAGACTTCAAACTTTCTATTGATTGAGCAGTTTTGAAACACTCTTTTTGTAGAATCTGCCAGTGGATATTTGGAGCGCTCTGTGGCCCATAGTGGAAAAGGAAATATCTTCATAAAAAAAATAAACAGAAGCACTTTGAGAAAGTTCTCTGTGTTGTATGCAGTCATAAATCAGACATGAAACTTTCTTTGGTACAGCAGTTTTGAAACACTCTTTTTGGAGATTCTGAAAGTAGATATTTGGAGAGACTTGAGGACTACGGTGGAAAAGGAAATATCTTCACAAAAAAACTAGACAGAAACATTCTGAGAAGCTTCTTTGTGATGTGTGCATCCATCTCAAAGAGTTGAACCTTTCTTTTGATTGACCATTTTTGAAGCACTCTTTTTGTAGAATCTTCAAGTGGATATTTGGAGTGTTTGTGGCCTGTGGTGGAAAAGGAAATATATTCACATAAAAACTAGATAGAAGCATTCTGAGAAACTTCTTTGTGATGTGCTCATTCAACTCACAGAGTTGAGCTTTTCTTTTGATTGAGCAGTTTGGAAACAGTCTTTCTGTAGAATCTGCAGGTGGATATTTGGAGCGCATTACGGCCTATAGTGGAAAAGGAAATATATTCACATAAAAACTAGACAGAAGCATTCAGAGAAACCTCTTTGTGATGTGCTCATTCAACTCACAGAGTTGATCTTTTCTTTTGTTTGAGCAGTTTGCAAACAGTCTTTTTGTAGAATCTGCAAGTGGATATTAGGAGTGCATTACGGCCTATAGTGGAGAATGAAATATCTTCACATAAAAACTAGACAGAAACATTATGAGAAACTGCTCTGTGATGCGTGCATTCATCACCAGGGTTGAACCTTTCTTTTGATTGAACAGTTTTGAAACACTCTTTCTGTAGAATCTGAAGGGGATATTTGGAACGCCTTGCGGCCTATGGTGAAAAACGAAATATCTTCACATAAAAACTAGACAGATGCATTCTGAGAAAGTGCTTTGTGAGGTGTACATTCATCTCACAGAGTTAAACCTTTCTTTTGATTGAGCAGTTTTGAAACACTCTTATTGTACAATCTGCAAGTGGATATTTGGAGAGTTTGAGGCCACTGGTGGAAAAGCAAATATCTTCACATAAAAACTAGACAGAACCATTCTGAGAAATCTCTTTGAGATGCGTGCATTCAACTCACAGAGTTGGACCTTTCCTTTGATTGAGCAGTTTGGAAACAGTCTTTTTGCAGTATATGCAAATGGATATTTGGAGCACTTTCAGGCCTATAGTAGGAAAGGAAATATCTTCACATAAAAACTAGACAGAAAATTACTGAGAAACTTCTTAATGATGTGTGCATTCATCTCACAGAGTTGAAACTTTCTTTTGATTGAGCCGTTTGGAAACACTCTTTTAGTAGAAACTGCAAGGAGATATTTGGAGCATTTTGTGGTCTATGGTAGAAAAGGATATATCTTCACATAAAAATAGAAGCATTTTGAGGAACTTCATGATGTGTGCATTCATCTCAAAGAGTTGAACTTTTCTTTTGATTGAGTAGCTTTGAAAAACTCTTTCTGCAGAATCTGCAAGTTGATATTTGGAGTGCTTTGTGACCTATAGTAGAAAAGGAAATATCTTTACTTAAAACTAGACAGAAGCATTCTGAGAAACTTCTTTGTGATGTGTGCATTCATCTCACAGAGTTGAATCTTTCTTTTGTTTGAGCAGTTTTGAAACTCTCTTTCTGTAGAATCTTCAAGTGGATATTTTCAGCGCTTTGAGGCCTATGGTGGAAAAGAAAATATCTTCACATAAAAAGTAGTCAGAAGCATTCTGAGAAACTTCTTTGTGACGTGTGCATTCAACTCATGGAGTTCAACCTTTCTTTTGATTCAGCAGTTTGGAAACAGTCTTTTTACAGTATCTGCAAATGGATATTTGGAGAGCTTTGAGGCCTATGGTGGAAAAGGAAATCTCTTCCCATAAAAACTAGACAGCTACTTTCTGAGAAACTATTTTGTCATGTGTGACTTCTACTCACCGGGTTGAAACTTTCTGTTGATTGAGCAGTTTGGAAACAGTCTTTTTGTAGAATCTGCAAATTGATATTTGGAGCGCTTTTGGCCTACGTTGAAAAACGAAATATCTTCCCATAAAAAGTAGGCAGAAGTTTTGGAGAAATTTATTTTGATGTGTGCATTCATCTCGCACAGTTGAAATTTTCTTTTGATTGAGCAGTGTGGATACATTCGTTTTGTAGAGTCTGCAAGTGGATATTTGGAGCACTTTCTGGCCTACAGTGAAAAAGGAAATATCTTCACATAAAAACTAGATAGAAGAATTCTGAGAAACTTCCTTTGAATGTGCACGTTCATCTCACAGTGTTGCACTTTTTTTTTTTGACTGAGCACCTTCTAAACAGTCATTTTGTAGAATATGCAAAGGAATATTTGTGAGCCCATTGATGCCACTGGGGAATTAGGAAATATCTTCACATAAAAACTAGACAGATAATCTTTCTCAGAAACGTCTTGGTGATGTGTGCATTCATCTCACTGAGTTGAACTTTATTTTGATTGAGCAGTTTGGAAACAGTCTTTTCTAGTATCTGCAAATGGATATTTTAAGCACTCTGAGGCCTACGGTGAAAAAGGAAATATCTTCAATATAAATCAGACAGAAGCATTCATAGAAACTTCTTTGTGATGTGTGCATTCATCTCACCGACTAGAACCTTTCTTTTGATTGAGCAGTTTTGAAACACTCTTTTAGCGGAATCTGCAAGTGTTTATTTGGAGCACATGAGGAATATGGTGGAAAAGGAATCTTCTTCACATAAAAACGAGACGGAAGCATTCTGAGAAATTTTTCTGTGATGGGTGCATTCATTTCACAGAGTTGAACCCTTCCTGTGATTGAATGGTTTGGAAACAGTCGTTTTGTATAAGCTGCAGAAGGATATTTGTGAGCCGATTGAGGCCTATGGGGCGATAGGAAATATGTTCACATAAAAACCAGATAGAAAGTTTCTGAGAAACTTCTTTGTGATATTAGCTTTTATCTCATAGAGTTGAAAATTTCTTTTTATTGAGCAGTTTGGGAACAGTCTTTTTGTAGTATCTGCAAATGGATATTACCAGTGCTTTGAGGCCTATGGTGAAAAAGGAAATATCTTCACATAAAAACAAGGCGGAAGCATTCTGAGAAACTTCTTTTTGATGTCTGCATTCATCTCACAGAGTTGAACCTTTCTTTTGATTGAGCAGTTTTGAAAGGCTCTATTTGTAGGATCTGCAAGTGGATATTTGGAACGCTTTGAGGCCTATAGTGGAAAACGAAATATCTTCACATAAAAACCTAGAAAGAAGAATTCTGAGAAACTTCCTAGGAAGGTGTATTTTCGTCTCACACTGTTAAACCCGTCTTTTGATTGAGCAGCTTCGATACAGCCATTTAGTAGAATATGAAAGGGAATATTTGAGAGCCCATTGAGGCCTCTGGGGAAATAAGAAATATCTTCACCTAAAAACTAGACAAAAACTTTCTGAGAAACACCCTTGTGATGTGTGCATTCATCATACACAGTGGAACGTTCTTTTGATTGAGCAGTTTGGATACAGTCATTTGTATTATCTGTAAATGGATATTTGGAGTGTACTGAGGCCTATGGTGAAAAAGGAAATATCCTCACATAAAATTCAGATGGAAGCATTCTTAGAAACTCCTTTGTGATGTGTACATTCATCTCACAGACTTCAAACTTTCTATTGATTGAGCAGTTTTGAAACACTCTTTTTGTAGAATCTGCCAGTGGATATTTGGAGCGCTCTGTGGCCCATAGTGGAAAAGGAAATATCTTCATAAGAAAAATAAACAGAAGCACTTTGAGAAACTTCTCTGTGTTGTATGCAGTCATATTTCAGACATGAAACTTTCTTTGGTACCGCAGTTTTAAAACACTCTTTTTGGAGATTCTGAAAGTAGATATTTGGAGAGACTTGAGGACTACGGTGGAAAAGGAAATATCTTCACAAAAAAACTAGACAGAAACATTCTGAGAAGCTTCTTTGTGATGTGTGCATCCATCTCAAAGAGTTGAACCTTTCTTTTGATTGAGCATTTTTGAAGCACTCTTTTTGTAGAAACTTCAAGTGGATATTTGGAGTGTTTGTGGCCTGTGGTGGAAAAGGAAATATATTCACATAAAAACTAGATAGAAACATTCTGAGAAGCTTCTTTGTGATGTGCTCATTCATCTCACAGAGTTGAACTTTTCTTTTGATTGAGCACTTTGGAAACAGTCTTTTTGTAGAATCTGCAGGTGGATATTTGGAGCACATTACGGCCTATAGTGGAAAAGGAAATATATTCACATAAAAACTAGACAGAAACATTCTGAGAAACTTCTTTGTGATGTGCTCATTCAACTCACAGAGTTGAACTTTTCTTTTGTTTGAGCAGTTTGCAAACAGTCTTTCTGTAGAATCTGCAAGTGGATATTAGGAGTGCATTACGGCCTATAGTGGAAAATGAAATAACTTCACATAAAAACTAGACAGAAACATTATGAGAAACTGCTTTGTGATGCGTGCATTCATCACCAGAGTTGAGTTTCTCTTTTGATTGAACAGTTTTGAAACACTCTTTCTGTAGAATCTGAAAGGGATATTTGGAGCGCTTTGCAGCCTATGGTGAAAAAGGAAATATCTTCACATAAAAGCTAGACAGAAGCATTTTAAGAAAGTGCTTTGTGACGTGTGCATTCATCTCACAGTGTTGAACCTTTCTTTTGATTGAGCAGTTTTGAAACACTCTTATTGTAGAATCTGCAAGTGGATATTTGGAGAGTTTGAGGCCACTGGTGGAAAAGCAAATATCTTCACATCAAAACTAGTCAGAATCATTATAAGTAATCTCTTTGAGATGCGTGCATTCAACTCACAGAGTTGGACATTTCCTTTGATTGAGCAGTTTGGAAACAGTCTTTTTGCAGTATCTGCAAACGGATATTTGGAGCACTTTCAGGCCTATAGTAGGAAAGGAAATATCTTCACATAAAAACCATACAGAAAATTACTGAGAAACTTGTTAGTGATGTGTGCATTCATCTCACAGAGTTGAAACTTTCTTTTGATTGAGCAGTTTGGAAACACTCTTTTAGTAGAAACTGCAAGGGGATATTTGGAGCACTTTGCGGTCTTTGGTAGAAAAGGATATATCTTCACATAAAAAATAGACAGAAGCATTCTGAGGAACTTCTTAATGATGTGTGCATTCGTCTCACAGAGTTGAACTTTTCTTTTGATTGAGAGCTTGAAAAACTCTTTCTGCAGAATCTGCACGTTGATATTTGGAGTGCTTTGAGGCCTACAGTGGAAAAGGAAATATATTCACATAAAACTAGACAGAAGCATTCTGAGAAACTTCTTTGTGATGTGTGCATTCATCTCACAGAGTTGAATCTTTCTTTTGTTTGAGCAGTTTTGAAACTCTCTTTCTGTAGAATCTTCAAGTGGATATTTTCAGCGCTTTGAGGCCTATGGTGGAAAAGAAAATATCTTCACATAAAAACTAGTCAGAAGCATTCTGGGAAATTTTTGTGACGTGTGCATTCAACTCATGGAGTTCAACCTTTCTTTTGATTCAGCAGTTTGGAAACAGTCTTTTTACAGTATCTGCAAATGGCTATTTGGAGAGCTTTGAGGCCTATGGTGGAAAAGGAAATATCTTCCCATAAAAACTAGACAGCAGCATTCTGAGAAACTTATTTGTGATCTGTGCATTCATCTCACAGAGTTGAACCTTTCTTTTGATTCAGCAGTTTTGAAACTGTCGTTTTGTAGAATCTGCAAATTGATATTTGGAGTGCTTTTGACCTACGTTGAAAAACGAAATATCTTCCCATAAAAAGTAGGCAGATACTTTCTGAGAAACTATTTTGTCATGTGTGACTTCTACTCACCGGGTTGAAACTTTCTGTTGATTGAGCAGTTTGGAAACAGTCTTTTTGTAGAATCTGCAAATTGATATTTGGAGTGCTTTTGGCCTACGTTGAAAAACTAAATATCTTCCCATAAAAAGTAGGCAGAAGTTTTGGAGAAATTTATTTTGATGTGTGCATTCATCTCACACAGTTGAAATTTTCTTTTGATTGAGCAGTGTGGATACACTCGTTTCGTAGAGTCTGCAAGTGGATATTTGGAGCACTTTGTGGCCTATAGTGAAAAAGGAAATATCTTCACATAAAAACTAGATAGAAGAATTCTGAGAAACTTCCTTTGAATGGGCGCATTCATCTCACACTGTTGAACTTTTTTTTTGATTGAGCACCTTCTAAAGAGTCATTTTGTAGAATCTGCAAAGGAATATTTGTGAGCCCATTGATGCCTCTGGGGAAACAGGAAATATCTTCACATAAAAACGAGACAGAATCTTTCTCAGAAACGTCTTGGTGATGTGTGCATTCATCTCACTGAGTTGAACTTTAATTTGATTGAGCAGTTTGGAAACAGTCTTTTCTAGTATCTGCAAATGGATATTTTAAGCACTCTGAGGCCTACGGTGAAAAAGGAAATATCTTCAATATAAATCAGACAGAAGCATTCATAGAAACGTCTTTGTGATGTGTGCATTCATCTCACCGACTAGAACCTGTCTTTTGATTGAGCAGTTTTGAAACACTCTTTTAGCGGAATCTGCAAGTGTTTCTTTGGAGCGCATGAGGAATATGGTGGAAAAGGAATCTTCTTCACATAAAAACGAGACGGAAGCATTCTGAGAAACTTCTCTGTGATGGATGCATTCATTTCACAGAGTTAAACCTTTCCTGTGATTGAGCGGTTTGGAAACAGTAGATTTTTATAATCTGCAGAAGGATACTTGTGAGCCGATTGAGGTCTATGGGGTGATAAGAAATATGTTCACATAAAAACTAGATAGAAAGTTTCTGAGAAACTTCTTTGTGATATTTGCTTTTATCTCCTAGAGTTGAAACTTTCTTTTTATTGAGCAGTTTGGGAACAGTCTTTTTGTAATATCTGCAAATGGATATTACCAGTGCTTTGAGGCCTATGGTGAAAAAGGAAATATCTTCACATAAAAACAAGGCGGAAGCATTCTGAGAAAGTTTTTTTGATGTCTGCATTCATCTCACAGAGTTGAACCTTTCTTTTGATTGAGCAGTTTTGAAACGCTCTATTTGTAGTATCTGCAAGTGGATATTTGGAACGCTTTGAGGCCTATAGTGGAAAAGGAAATATCTTCACATAAAAAACTAGAAAGAAGAATTCTGAGAAACTTCCTAGGAAGGTGTATTTTCGTCTCACACTGTTAAACCCGTCTTTTGATTGAGCAGCTTCGATACAGTCATTTAGTAGAATATGAAAGGGAATATTTGAGAGCCCATTGAGGCCTCTGGGGAAATAAGAAATATCTTCACCTAAAAACAAGACAAAAACTTTCTGAGAAACACCCTTGTGATGTGTGCATTCATCATACACAGTTGAACTTTCTTTTGATTGAGCAGTTTGGATACAGTCATTTCTATTATCTGTAAATGGATATTTGGAGTGTACTGAGGCCTATGGTGAAAAAGGAAATATCCTCACATAAAATTCAGATGGAAGCATTCTTAGAAACTCCTATGTGATGTGTGCATTCATCTCACAGACTTCAAACTTTCTATTGACTGAGCAGTTTTGAAACACTCTTTTTGTAGAATCTGCCAGTGGATATTTGGAGCGCTCTGTGGCCCATAGTGGAAAAGGAAATATCTTCATAAAAAAAATAAACAGAAGCACTTTGAGAAACTTCTCTGTGTTGTATGCAGTCATATCTCAGACATGAAAATTTCTTTGGTACAGCAGTTTTAAAACACTCTTTTTGGAGATTCTGAAAGTAGATATTTGGAGAGACTTGAGGACTACGGTGGAAAAGGAAATATCTTCACAGAAAAACTAGACAGAAACATTCTGAGAAGCTTCTTTGTGATGTGTGCATCCATCTCAAAGAGTTGAAACTTTCTTTTGATTGAGCATTTTTGAAGCACTCTTTTTGTAGAATCTTCAAGTGGATATTTGGAGTGTTTGTGGCCTGTGGTGGAAAAGGAAATATATTCACATAAAAACTAGATAGAAGCATTCTGAGAAACTTCTTTGTGATGTGCTCATTCAACTCACAGAGTTGAGCTTTTCTTTTGATTGAGCAGTTTGGAAACAGTCTTTTTGTAGAATCTGCAGGTGGATATTTGGAGCGCATTACGGCCTATAGTGGAAAAGGAAATATATTCACATAAAATCTAGACAGAAGCATTCTGAGAAACTTCTTTGTGATGTGCTCATTCAACTCACAGAGTTGAACTTTTCTTTTGTTTGAGCAGTTTGCAAACAGTCTTTTTGTAGAATCTGCAAGTGGATATTAGGAGTGCATTACAGCCTATAGTGGAGAATGAAATATCTTCACATAAAAACTAGACAGAAACATTATGAGAAACTGCTTTGTGATGCGTGCATTCATCACCAGAGTTGAGTTTCTCTTTTGATTGAACAGTTTTGAAATACTCTTTCTGTAGAATCTGAAAGGGATATTTGGAGCGCTTTGCAGCCTATGGTGAAAAAGGAAATATCTTCACATAAAAGCTAGACAGAAGCATTCTAAGAAAGTGCTTTGTGACGTGTGCATTCATCTCACAGTGTTGAACCTTTCTTTTGATTGAGCAGTTTTGAAACACTCTTATTGTAGAATCTGCAACTGGATATTTGGAGAGTTTGAGGCCACTGGTGGAAAAGCAAATATCTTCACATCAAAACTAGACAGGATCATTATAAGTAATCTCTTTGAGATGCGTGCATTCAACTCACAGAGTTGGACATTTCCTTTGATTGAGCAGTGTGGAAACAGTCTTTTTGCAGTATCTGCAAACGGATATTTGCAGCACTTTCAGGCCTATAGTAGGAAAGGAAATATCTTCACATAAAAACTAGACAGAAAATTACTGAGAAACTTCTTAATGATGTGTGCATTCATCTCACAGAGTTGAAACTTTCTTTTGATTGAGCCGTTTGGAAACACTCTTTTCGTAGAAACTGCAAGGGGATATTTGGAGCGTTTTGTGGTCTATGGTAGAAAAGGATATATCTTCACATAAAAATAGAAGCATTCTGAGGAACTTCATGATGTGTGCATTCATCTCAAAGAGTTGAACTTGTCTTTTGACTGAGCAGCTTTGAAAAACTCTTTCTGCAGAATCTGCAAGTTGATATTTGGAATGCTTTGTGGCCTATAGTAGAAAAGGAAATATCTTTACATAAAACTAGACAGAAGCATTCTGAGAAACGTCTTTGTGACGTGTGCATTCATGTCACAGAGTTGAACCTTTCTTTTGTTTGAGCAGTTTTGAAACCCTCTTTTTGTAGAATCTTCAAGTGGATATTTTTAGCACTTTGGGGCCTATGGTGGAAAAGAAAACATCTTCACATAAAAACTAGTCAGAAGCATTCTGAGAAACTTCTTTGTGACGTGTGCATTCAACTCATGGAGTTCAACCTTTCTTTTGATTCAGCAGTTTGGAAACAGTCTTTTTACAGTATCTGCAAATGGCTATTTGGAGAGCTTTGAGGCCTATGGTGGAAAAGGAAATCTCTTCCCATAAAAACTAGACAGCTACTTTCTGAGAAACTATTTTGTCATGTGTGACTTCTACTCACCGGGTTGAAACTTTCTCTTGATTGAGCAGTTTGGAAACAGTCTTTTTGTAGAATCTGCAAATTGATATTTGGAGTGCTTTTGGCCTACGTTGAAAAACGAAATATCTTCCCATAAAAAGTAGGCAGAAGTTTTGGAGAAATTTATTTTGATGTGTGCACTCATCTCACACAGTTGAAATTTTCTTTTGATTGAGCAGTGTGGATACACTCGTTTTGTAGAGTCTGCAAGTGGATATTTGGAGCACTTTGTGGCCTATAGTGAAAAAGGAAATATCTTCACATAAAAACTAGATAGAAGAATTCTGAGAAACTTCCTTTGAATGGGCGCATTCATCTCACACTGTTGAACTTTTTTTTTGATTGAGCACCTTCTAAACAGTCATTTTGTAGAATATGCAAAGGAATATTTGTGAGCCCATTGATGCCTCTGGGGAAACAGGAAATATCTTCACATAAAAACGAGACAGAATCTTTCTCAGAAACGTCTTGGTGATGTGTGCATTCATCTCACTGAGTTGAACTTTACTTTGATTGAGCAGTTTGGAAACAGTCTTTTCTAGTATCTGCAAATGGATATTTTAAGCATTCTGAGGCCTACGGTGAAAAAGGAAATATCTTCAATATAAATCAGACAGAAGCATTCATAGAAACTGCTTTGTGATGTGTGCATTCATCTCACCGACTAGAACCTTTCTTTTGATTGAGCAGTTTTGAAACACTCTTTTAGCGGAATCTGCAAGTGTTTATTTGGAGCGCATGAGGAATATGGTGGAAAAGGAATATTCTTCACATGGAAACGAGACGGAAGCATTCTGAGAAACTTCTCTGTGATGGATGCATTCATTTCACAGAGTTAAACCTTTCCTGTGATTGAGCGGTTTGGAAACAGTAGTTTTTCATAATCTGCAGAAGGATACTTGTGAGCCGATTGAGGTCTATGGGGTGATAAGAAATATGTTCACATAAAAACTAGATAGAAAGTTTCTGAGAAACTTCTTTGTGATATTTGCTTTTATCTCATAGAGTTGAAACTTTCTTTTTATTGAGCAGTTTGGGAACAGTCTTTTTGTAGTATCTGCAAATGGATATTACCAGTGCTTTGAGGCCTATGGTGAAAAAGGAAATATCTTCACATAAAAACAAGGCAGAAGCATTCTGAGAAACTTCTTTTTGATGTCTGCATTCATCTCACAGAGTTGAACCTTTCCTTTGATTGAGCAGTTTTGAAACGCTCTATTTGTAGTATCTGCAAGTGGATATTTGGAACGCTTTGAGGCCTATAGTGGAAAAGGAAATATCTTCACATAAAAAACTAGAAAGAAGAATTCTGAGAAACTTCCTAGGAAGGTGTATTTTCGTCTCACACTGTTAAACCCCTCTTTTGATTGAGCAGCTTCGATACAGTCATTTAGTAGAATATGAAAGGGAATATTTGAGAGCCCATTGAGGCCTCTGGGGAAATAAGAAATATCTTCACCTAAAAACTAGACAAAAACTTTCTGAGAAACACCCTTGTGATGTGTGCATTCATCATACACAGTTGAACTTTCTTTTGATTGAGCAGTTTGGATACAGTCATTTGTATTATCTGTAAATGGATATTTGGAGTGTATTGAGGCCTATGGTGAAAAAGGAAATATCCTCACATAAAATTCAGATGGAAGCATTCTTAGAAACTCCTTTGTGGTGTGTGCATTCATCTCACAGACTTCAAACTTTCTATTGATTGAGCAGTTTTGAAACACTCTTTTTGTAGAATCTGCAAGTCGATATTTGGAGCGCTCTGTGGCCCATAGTGGAAAAGGAATTATCTTCATAAAAAAAATAAACAGAAGCACTTTGAGAAACTTCTCTGTGTTGTATGCAGTCATATCTCAGACATGAAACTTTCTTTGGTACAGCAGTTTTAAAACACTCTTTTTGGAGATTCTGAAAGTAGATATTTGGAGAGACTTGAGGACTACGGTGGAAAAGGAAATATCTTCACAAAAAAACTAGACAGAAACATTCTGAGAAAGCTTCTTTGTGATGTGTGCATCCATCTCAAAGAGTTGAACCTTTCTTTTGATTGAGCATTTTTGAAGCACTCTTTTTGTAGAAACTTCAAGTGGATATTTGGAGTGTTTGTGGCCTGTGGTGGAAAAGGAAATATATTCACATAAAAACTAGATAGAAGCATTCTGAGAAACTTCTTTGTGATGTGCTCATTCCACTCACAGAGTTGAGCTTTTCTTTTGATTGAGCAGTTTGGAAACAGTCTTTTTGTAGAATCTCCAGGTGGATATTTGGAGCGCATTACGGCCTATAGTGGAAAAGGAAATATATTCACATAAAAACTAGACAGAAGCATTCTGAGAAACTTCTTTGTGATGTGCTCATTCAACTCACAGAGTTGAACTTTTCTTTTGTTTGAGCAGTTTGCAAACAGTCTTTCTGTAGAATCTGCAAGTGGATATTAGGAGTGCATTACGGCCTATAGTGGAAAATGAAATATCTTCACATAAAAACTAGACAGAAACATTATGAGAAACTGCTTTGTGATGCGTGCATTCATTACCAGAGTTGAATTTCTCTTTTGATTGAACAGTTTTGAAACACTCTTTCTGTAGAATCTGAAAGGGATATTTGGAGCGCTTTGCAGCCTATGGTGAAAAAGGAAATATCTTCACATAAAAGCTAGACAGAGCATTCTAAGAAAGTGCTTTGTGACGTGTGCATTCATCTGACAGTGTTGAACCTTTCTTTTGATTGAGCAGATTTGAAACACTCTTATTGTAGAATCTGCAACTGGATATTTGGAGAGTTTGAGGCCACTGGTGGAAAAGCAAATATCTTCACATCAAAACTAGACAGGATCATTATAAGTAATCTCTTTGAGATGCCGTGCATTCAACTCACAGAGTTGGACATTTCCTTTGATTGAGCAGTTTGGAAACAGTCTTTATGCAGTATCTGCAAACGGATATTTGGAGCACTTTCAGGCCTATAGTAGGAAAGGAAATATCTTCACATAAAAACCATACAGAAAATTACTGAGAAACTTCTTAATGATGTGTGCATTCATCTCACAGAGTTGAAACTTTCCTTTGATTGAGCAGTTTGGAAACACTCTTTTAGTAGAAACTGCAAGGGGATATTTGGAGCGTTTTGTGGTCTATGGTAGAAAAGGTTATCTTCACATAAAAATAGAAGCATTCTGAGGAACTTCCTGATGTGTACATTCATCTCAAAGAGTTGAACTTTTCTTTTGATTGAGCAGCTTTGAAAAACTCTTTCTGCAGAATCTGCAAGTTGATATTTGGAGTGCTTTGTGGCCTATAGTAGAAAAGGAAATATCTTTACATAAAACTAGACAGAAGCATTCTGAGAAACTTCTTTGTGATGTGTGCATTCATCTCACGGAGTTGAATCTTTCTTTTGTTTGAGCAGTTTTGAAACTCTCTTTCTGTAGAATCTTCAAGTGGATATTTTCAGCGCTTTGAGGCCTATGGTGGAAAAGAAAATATCTTCACATAAAAACTAGTCAGAACCATTCTGAGAAACTTCTTTGTGACGTGTGCATTCAACTCATGGAGTTCAACCTTTCTTTTGATTCAGCAGTTTGGAAACAGTCTTTTTACAGTATCTGCAAATGGCTATTTGGAGAGCTTTGAGGCCTATGGTGGAAAAGGAATTATCTTCCCATAAAAACTAGACAGCAGCATTCTGAGAAACTTATTTGTGATCTGTGCATTCATCTCCCAGAGTTGAACCTTTCTTTTGATTCAGCAGTTTTGAAACTGTCGTTTTGTAGAATCTGCAAAGGAATATTTGTGAGCCCATTGAGGCTTCTGGGGTGATAGGAAATATCTTCACGTAAAAACTAGACAGATACTTTCTGAGAAACTATTTTGTCATGTGTGTCTTCTACTCACCGGGTTGAAACTTTCTGTTGATTGAGCAGTTTGGAAACAGTCTTTTTGTAGAATCTGCAAATTGATATTTGGAGTGCTTTTGGCCTACGTTGAAAAACGAAATATCTTCCCATAAAAAGTAGGCAGAAGTTTTGGAGAAAGTTATTTTGATGTGTGCATTCATCTCACACAGTTGAAATTTTCTTTTGATTGAGCAGTGTGGATACACTCGTTTTGTAGAGTCTGCAAGTGGATATTTGGAGCACTTTGTGGCCTATAGTGAAAAAGGAAATATCTTCACATAAAAACTAGATAGAAGAATTCTGAGAAACTTCCTTTGAATGGGCGCATTCATCTCACACTGTTGAACTTTTTTTTTGATTGAGCACCTTCTAAACAGTCATTTTGTAGAATATGCAAAGGAATATTTGTGAGCCCATTGATGCCTTCTGGGGAAACAGGAAATATCTTCACATAAAAACGAGACAGAATCTTTCTCAGAAACGTCTTGGTGATGTGTGCATTGATCTCACTGAGTTGAACTTTACTTTGATTGAGCAGTTTGGAAACAGTCTTTTCTAGTATCTGCAAATGGATATTTTAAGCACTCTGAGGCCTACGGTGAAAAAGGAAATATCTTCAATATAAATCAGACAGAAGCATTCATAGAAACTTCTTTGTGATGTGTGCATTCATCTCACCGACTAGAACCTTTCTTTTCATTGAGCAGTTTTGAAACACTCTTTTAGCGGAATCTGCAAGTGTTTATTTGGAGCGCATGAGGAATATGGTGGAAAAGGAATCTTCTTCACATAAAAACGAGACGGAAGCATTCTGAGAAACTTCTCTGTGATGGATGCATTCATTTCACAGAGTTAAACCTTTCCTGTGATTGAGCGGTTTGGAAACAGTAGTTTTTTACAATCTGCAGAAGGATACTTGTGAGCCGATTGAGGTCTATGGGGTGATAAGAAATATGTTCACATAAAAACTAGATAGAAAGTTTCTGAGAAACTTCTTTGTGATATTAGCTTTTATCTCCTAGAGTTGAAAATTTCTTTTTATTGAGCAGTTTGGGAACAGTCTTTTTGTAGTATCTGCAAATGGATATTACCAGTGCTTTGAGGCCTATGGTGAAAAAGGAAATATCTTCACATAAAAACAAGGCGGAAGGATTCTGAGAAACTTCTTTGTGATGTCTGCATTCATCTCACAAAGTTGAACCTTTCTTTTGATTGAGCAGTTTTGAAACACTCTCTTTGTAGTATCTGCAAGTGGATATTTGGAACGCTTTGAGGCCTATAGTGGAAAAGGAAATATCTTCACATAAAAAACTAGAAAGAAGAATTCTGAGAAACTTCCTAGGAAGGTGTATTTTCGTCTCACACTGTTAAACCCGTCTTTTGATTGAGCAGCTTCGATACAGTCATTTAGTAGAATATGAAAGGGAATATTTGAGAGCCCATTGAGGCCTCTGGGGAAATAAGAAATATCTTCACCTAAAAACTAGACAAAATCTTTCTGAGAAACACCCTTGTGATGTGTGCATTCATCATACAGAGTTGAAATTTCTTTTGATTGAGCAGTTTGGATACAGTCATTTGTATTATCTGTAAATGGATATTTGGAGTGTACTGAGGCCTATGGTGAAAAAGGAAATATCCTCACATAAAATTCAGATGGAAGCATTCTTAGAAACTCCTTTGTGATGTGTGCACTCATCTCACAGACTTCAAACTTTCTATTGATTGAGCAGTTTTGAAACACTCTTTTTGTAGAATCTGCCAGTGGATATTTGGAGCGCTCTGTGGCCCATAGTGGAAACGGAAATATCTTCATAAAAAAAATAAACAGAAGCACTTTGAGAAACTTCTCTGTGTTGTATGCAGTCATATCTCAGACATGAAAATTTCTTTGGTACAGCAGTTTTAAAACACTCTTTTTGGAGATTCTGAAAGTAGATATTTGGAGAGACTTGAGGACTACGGTGGAAAAGGAAATATCTTCACAAAAAAACTAGACAGAAACATTCTGAGAAGCTTCTTTGTGATGTGTGCGTCCATCTCGAAGAGTTGAACCTTTCTTTTGATTGCGCATTTTTGAGGCACTCTTTTTGTAGAATCTTCAAGTGGATATTTGGAGGGTTTGTGGCCTGTGGTGGAAAAGCAAATATATTCACATAAAAACTAGATAGAAGCATTCTGAGGAACTTCTTTGGGATGTGCTCATTCACCTCACAGAGTTGAGCTTTTCTTTTGATTGAGCAGTTTGGAAACAGTCTTTTTGTAGAATCTGCAAGTGGATATTTGGAGCGCATGACGGCCTATAGTGGAAAAGGAAATATATTCACATAAAAACTAGACAGAGAAGCATTCTGAGAAACTTCTTTGTGATGTGCTCATTCAACTCACAGAGTTGAACTTTTCTTTTGTTTGAGCAGTTTGCAAACAGTCTTTCTGTAGAATCTGCAAGTGGATATTAGGAGTGCATTACGGCCTATAGTGGAAAATGAAATATCTTCACATAAAAACTAGACAGAAACATTATGAGAAACCGCTTTGTGATGCGTGCATTCATCACCAGAGTTGAGTTTCTCTTTTGATTGAACAGTTTTGAAACACTCTTTCTGTAGAATCTGAAAGGGATATTTGGAGCGCTTTGCAGCCTATGGTGAAAAAGGAAATATCTTCACATAAAAGCTAGACAGAAGCATTCTAAGAAAGTGCTTTGTGACGTGTGCATTCATCTGACAGTGTTGAACCTTTCTTTCGATTGAGCAGTTTTGAAACACTCTTATTGTAGAATCTGCAAGTGGATATTTGGAGAGTTTGAGGCCACTGGTGGAAAAGCAAATATCTTCACATCAAAACTAGACAGGATCATTATAAGTAATCTCTTTGAGATGCGTGCATTCAACTCACAGAGTTGGACATTTCCTTTGATTGAGCAGTTTGGAAACAGTCTTTATGCAGTATCTGCAAACGGATATTTGGAGCACTTTCAGGCCTATAGTAGGAAAGGAAATATCTTCACATAAAAACCATACAGAAAAATTACTGAGACACTACTTAATGTTGTGTGCATTCATCTCACAGAGTTGAAACTTTCTTTTGATTGAGCCGTTTGGAAACACTCTTTTAGTAGAAACTGCAAGGGGATATTTGGAGCGTTTTGTGGTCTATGGTAGAAAAGGATATATCTTCACATAAAAATAGAAGCATTCTGAGGAACTTCATGATGTGTGCATTCATCTCAAAGAGTTGAACTTTTCTTTTGATTGAGCAGCTTTGAAAATCTCTTTCTGCAGAATCTGCAAGTTGATATTTGGAGTGCTTTGTGGCCTATAGTAGAAAAGGAAATATCTTTACATAAAACTAGACAGAAGCATTCTGAGAAACTTCTTTGTGATGTGTGCATTCATCTCACAGAGTTGAATCTTTCTTTTGTTTGAGCAGTTTTGAAACTCTCTTTTTGTAGAATCTTCAAGTGGATATTTTCAGCGCTTTGAGGCCTATGGTGGAAAAGAAAATATCTTCACATAAAAACTAGTCAGAAGTATTCTGAGAAACTTCTTTGTGACGTGTGCATTCAACTCATGGAGTTCAACCTTTCTTTTGATTCAGCAGTTTGGAAACAGTCTTTTTACAGTATCTGCAAATGGCTATTTGGAGAGCTTTGAGGCCTATGGTGGAAAAGGAAATCTCTTCCCATAAAAACTAGACAGCAGCATTCTGAGAAACTTATTTGTGATCTGTGCATTCATCTCACAGAATTGAACCTTTCTTTTGATTCAGCAGTTTTGAAACTGTCGTTTTGTAGAATCTGCAAAGGAATATTTGTGAGCCCATTGAGGCTTCTGGGGTGATAGGAAATATCTTCACATTAAAACTAGACAGATACTTTCTGGGAAACTATTTTGTCATGTGTGACTTCTACTCACCGGGTTGAAACTTTCTCTTGATTGAGCAGTTTGGAAACAGTCTTTTTGTAGAATCTGCAAATTGATATTTGGAGTGCTTTTGGCCTACGTTGAAAAACGAAATATCTTCCCATAAAGAGTAGGCAGAAGTTTTGGAGAAATTTATTTTGATGTGTGCATTCATCTCAAACAGTTGAAATTTTCTTTTGTTTGAGCAGTGTGGATACACTCGTTTCGTAGAGTCTGCAAGTGGATATTTGGAGCACTTTGTGGCCTATAGTGAAAAAGGAAATATCTTCACATAAAAACTAGATAGAAGAATTCTGAGAAACTTCCTTTGAATGGGCGCATTCATCTCACACTGTTGAACTTTTTTTTTGATTGGGCACCTTCTAAACAGTCATTTTGTAGAATATGCAAAGGAATATTTGTGAGCCCATTGATGCCTCTGGGGAAACAGGAAATATCTTCACATAAAAACGAGACAGAATCTTTCTCAGAAACTTCTTTGTGATATGTGCATTCATCTCACTGAGTTGAACTTTATTTTGATTGAGCAGTTTGGAAACAGTCTTTTTCTAGTATCTGCAAATGGATATTTTAAGCGCTCTGAGGCCTACGGTGAAAAAGGAAATATCTTCAATATAAATCAGACAGAAGCATTCATAGAAACTTCTTTGTGATGTGTGCATTCATCTCACCGACTAGAACCTTTCTTTTGATTGAGCAGTTTTGAAACACTCTTTTAGCGGAATCTGCAAGTGTTTCTTTGTAGCGCATGAAGAATATGGTGGAAAAGGAATCTTCTTCACATAAAAACGAGACGGAAGCATTCTGAGAAACTTCTCTGTGATGGATGCATTCATTTCCCAGAGTTAAACCTTTCCTGTGATTGACCGGTTTGGAAACAGTAGTTTTTTACAATCTGCAGAAGGATACTTGTGAGCCGATTGAGGTCTATGGGGTGATAAGAAATATGTTCACATAAAAACTAGATAGAAAGTTTCTGAGAAACTTCTTTGTGATATTTGCTTTTATCTCCTAGAGTTGAAACTTTCTTTTTATTGAGCAGTTTGGGGACAGTCTTTTTGTAGTATCTGCAAATGGATATTACCAGTGCTTTGAGGCCTATGGTGAAAAAGGAAATATCTTCACATAAAAACAAGGCAGAAGCATTCTGAGAAGCTTCTTTTTGATGTCTGCATTCATCTCGCAGTGTTGAAACTTTCTTTTGATTGAGCAGTTTTGAAACGCTCTATTTGTAGTATCTGCAAGTGGATATTTGGAACGCTTTGAGGCCTATAGTGGAAAAGGAAATATCTTCACATAAAAAACTAGAAAGAAGAATTCTGAGAAACTTCCTAGGAAGGTGTATTTTTGTCTCACACTGTTAAACCCGTCTTTTGATTGAGCAGCTTCGATACAGTCATTTAGTAGATTATGAAAAGGAATATTTGAGAGCCCATTGAGGCCTCTGGGGAAATAAGAAATATCTTCACCTAAAAACTAGACAAAATCTTTCTGAGAAACACCCTTGTGATGTGTGCATTCATCATGCACAGTTGAACTTTCTTTTGATTGAGCAGTTTGGATACAGTCATTTGTATTATCTGTAAATGGATATTTGGAGTGTATTGAGGCCTATGGTGAAAAAGGAAATATCCTCACATAAAATTCAGATGGAAGCATTCTTAGAAACTCCTTTGTGATGTGTGCACTCATCTCACAGACTTCAAACTTTCTATTGATTGAGCAGTTTTGAAACACTCTTTTTGTAGAATCTGCCAGTGGATATTTGGAGCGCTCTGTGGCCCATAGTGGAAAAGGAAATATCTTCATAAAAAAAATAAACAGAAGCACTTTGAGAAACTTCTCTGTGTTGTATGCAGTCATAACTCAGACATGAAACTTTCTTTGGTACAGCAGTTTTAAAACACTCTTTTTGGAGATTCTGAAAGTAGATATTTGGAGAGACTTGAGGACTACGGTGGAAAAGGAAATATCTTCACAAAAAAACTAGACAGAAACATTCTGAGAAGCTTCTTTGTGATGTGTGCGTCCATATCGAAGAGTTGAACCTTTCTTTTGATTGAGCATTTTTGAAGCACTCTTTTTGTAGAATCTTCAAGTGGATATTTGGAGGGTTTGTGGCCTGTGGTGGAAAAGGAAATATATTCACATAAAAACTAGATAGAAGCATTCTGAGAAACTTCTTTCTGATGTGCTCATTCAACTCACAGAGTTGAGCTTTTCTTTTGATTGCGCAGTTTGGAAACAGTCTTTTTGTAGAAACTGCAAGTGGATATTTGGAGCGCATTACGGCCTATAGTGGAAAAGGAAATATATTCACATAAAAACTAGACAGAAGCATTCTGAGAAACTTCTTTGTGATGTGCTCATTCAACTCACAGAGTTGAACTTTTCTTTTGTTTGAGCAGTTTGCAAACAGTCTTTTTGTAGAATCTGCAAGTGGATATTAGGAGTGCATTACGGCCTATAGTGGAGAATGAAATATCTTCACATAAAAACTAGACAGAAACATTATGAGAAACTGCTTTGTGATGCGTGCATTCATCACCAGAGTTGAGTTTCTCTTTTGATTGAACAGTTTTGAAACACTCTTTCTGTAGAATCTGAAAGGGGTATTTGGAGCGCTTTGCAGCCTATGGTGAAAAAGGAAATATCTTCACATAAAAGCTAGACAGAAGCATTCTAAGAAAGTGCTTTGTGACGTGTGCATTCATCTCACAGTGTTGAACCTTTCTTTTGATTGAGCAGTTTTGAAACACTCTTATTGTAGAATCTGCAAGTGGATATTTGGAGAGTTTGAGGCCACTGGTGGAAAAGCAAATATCTTCACATCAAAACTAGACAGAATCATTAGAAGTAATCTCTTTGAGATGCGTGCATTCAACTCACAGAGTTGGACATTTCCTTTGATTGAGCAGTGTGGAAACAGTGTTTTTGCAGTATCTGCAAACGGATATTTGCAGCACTTTCAGGCCTATAGTAGGAAAGGAAATATCTTCACATAAAAACTAGACAGAAAATTACTGAGAAACTTCTTAATGATGTGTGCATTCATCTCACAGAGTTGAAACTTCTTTTGATTGAGCAGTTTGGAAACACTCTTTTAGTAGAAACTGCAAGGGGATATTTGGAGCGTTTTGTGGTCTATGGTAGAAAAGGATATATCTTCACATAAAAATAGAAGCATTCTGAGGAACTTCATGATGTGTGCATTCATCTCAAAGAGTTGAACTTTTCTTTTGATTGAGCAGCTTTGAAAAACTCTTTCTGCAGAATCTGCAAGTTGATATTTGGAGTGCTTTGTGGCCTATAGTAGAAAAGGAAATATCTTTACATAAAACTAGACAGAAGCATTCTGAGAAACTTCTTTGTGATGTGTGCATTAATGTCACAGAGTTGAACCTTTCTTTTGTTTGAGCAGTTTTGAAACTCTCTTTTTGTAGAATCTTCAAGTGAATATTTTTAGCACTTTGAGGCCTGTGGTGGAAAAGAAAACATCTTCACATAAAAACTAGTCAGAAACTTTCTGAGAAACTTCTTTCAGATGTGTGCTTTCATCTCACAGATTTGAACTTTTCTTTTGATTGAGCAGTTTTGAAACAGTCTTTTTGTACAATCTATAAGTGGATATTTGGGGCACTTTCAGGCCTATGGTGGAAAAAGACACATCTTCCCATAAAAACTAGACAGCAGCATTCTGAGAAACTTATTTGTGATCTGTGCATTCATCTCACAGAGTTGAACCTTTCTTTTGATTCAGCAGTTTTGAAACTGTCGTTTTGTAGAATCTGCAAAGGAATATTTGTGAGCCCATTGAGGCTTCTGGGGTGATAGGAAATATCTTCACATAAAAACTAGACAGATACTTCCTGAGAAACTATTTTGTCATGTGTGACTTCTACTCACCGGGTTGAAACTTTCTCTTGATTGAGCAGTTTGGAAACAGTCTTTTTGTAGAATCTGCAAATTGATATTTGGAGTGCTTTTGGCCTACGTTGAAAAACGAAATATCTTCCCATAAAAAGTAGGCAGAAGTTTTGGAGAAATTTATTTTGATGTGTGCATTCATCTCACACAGTTGAAATTTTCTTTTGATTGAGCAGTGTGGATACACTCGTTTTGTAGAGTCTGCAAGTGGATATTTGGAGCACTTTGTGGCCTACAGTGAAAAAGGAAATATCTTCACATAAAAAGTAGATAGAAGAATTCTGAGAAACTTCCTTTGAATGGGCGCATTCATCTCACACTGTTGAACTTTTTTTTTGATTGAGAACCTTCTAAACAGTCATTTTGTAGAATATGCAAAGGAATATTTGTGAGCCCATTGATGCCTCTGGGGAAACAGGAAATATCTTCACATAAAAACGAGACAGAATCTTTCTCAGAAACGTCTTGGTGATGTGTGCATTCATCTCACTGAGTTGAACTTTACTTTGATTGAGCAGTTTGGAAACAGTCTTTTCTAGTATCTGCAAATGGATATTTTAAGCACTCTGAGGCCTACGGTGAAAAAGGAAATATCTTCAATATAAATCAGACAGAAGCATTCATAGAAACTTCTTTGTGATGTGTGCATTCATCTCACCGACTAGAACCTTTCTTTTGATTGAGCAGTTTTGAAACACTCTTTTAGCGGAATCTGCAAGTGTTTATTTGGAGCGCATGAGGAATAGGGTGGAAAAGGAATCTTCTTCACATAAAAACGAGACGGAAGCATTCTGAGAAACTTCTCTGTGATGGATGCATTCATTTCACAGAGTTAAACCTTTCCTGTGATTGAGCGGTTTGGAAACAGTAGTTTTTTTACAATCTGCAGAAGGATACTTGTGAGCCGATTGAGGTCTATGGGGTGATAAGAAATATGTTCACATAAAAACTAGATAGAAAGTTTCTGAGAAACTTCTTTGTGATATTTGCTTTTATCTCATAGAGTTGAAAATTTCTTTTTATTGAGCAGTTTGGGAACAGTCTTTTTGTAGTATCTGCAAATGGATATTACCAGTGCTTTGAGGCCTATGGTGAAAAAGGAAATATCTTCACATAAAAACAAGGCAGAAGGATTCTGAGAAACTTCTTTTTGATGTCTGCATTCATCTCACAGAGTTGAACCTTTCCTTTGATTGAGCAGTTTTGAAACGCTCTATTTGTAGTATCTGCAAGTGGATATTTGGAACGCTTTGAGGCCTATAGTGGAAAAGGAAATATCTTCACATAAAAAACTAGAAAGAAGAATTCTGAGAAACTTCCTAGGAAGGTGTATTTTCGTCTCACACTGTTAAACCCGTCTTTTGATTGAGCAGCTTCGATACACTCATTTAGTAGAATATGAAAGGGAATATTTGAGAGCCCATTGAGGCCTCTGGGGAAATAAGAAATATCTTCACCTAAAAACTAGACAAA
>NC_000014.9:16228749-16282882 GCF_000001405.40 Homo sapiens
AGCATTCCAAGAAATTTTTTGTGATGTGTCCATTTACGTCACAGAGTTGAACCTCTCCTTTGATTGGGCAGTTTGGAAACAGTCTTTTTGTAGAACCTGCAGAGGGATATTTGTGAGCCCTTTATGGCCTGTAGTGAAATACGAAGTATCTTCACCTAAAAACTAGACAGAAGGTTTCTGAGAAACTTCTTGGTGATGTGTGCCTTCATCTCACAGTGTTGAACCTTTCTTTTGATTGAGCAGTTTGCAAAGTCTTTCTGTAGAATCTGTAAATGGATATTTGGAGATATTTGAGGCCCGTGGTGAAAAAGGAAGTATCTTCACCTAAAAACCAGACAGAAAGATTTCTGAAAAACCTCTTTGTTATGTGTGAATTCATGTCACAGAATTCAACCTTTCTTTCACTTGAGCAGTTTGGAAACAGTCTTTGGTAGAAGATGCAGAGGGAAATTTCTTAGCTGCTTCAGGCCTATGGTGAAAAAGAAATATCTTCACAGAAAAACTAGACAGAAGCTTTCTGAGAAACTTCTTTGTGATGTGTCCATTCATCGCACAGAGTGAAACCTTTCTTTTGATTGAGGAGTTTGGAAAAGGTCTTTTCTTAGAATCTGCAAAGGGATATTTGTGAGCCCTTTATGGCCTTTGTTGAAATATGAAATATCTTCACGTAAAAAGTAGACAGAAGCTTTCTGACAAATTTCTTGGTGATGTGCACGTTTGTCACACGGAATTGAACCCTTCTTCTGATTGAGCAGTTTGGAATCAGTCTTTTTGTAGAATCTGTGAATGTGTATTTAGAGAGTTTTAAGGCCTAGGGTGCAAGAGGCAATGTCTTCACATAAAAACGACACAGTAGCATTTTGAGAAAACTCTTTGTGACATTTCCATTCATCTCTAATAGTTGGCCGTTTCCTTTCATTGAGCAGTTTGGAAGCAGTCTTTTTCTACAACCTGCAAAGGGATATTTCTGAGCGGTTTGGGGCCAACGGTGAAAAATAAATATCTTCCCATGAAAACTAGACAGAAGCATTTTGAGAAACTTCTTTTTGATGTGTGTATTCATCTCACAGATTTGAACCTTTCTTTAGATTTAGCAATTTGGAGAAAGTCTCTTGGTAGTATAAGTGGAGTTATATTTGCGAGCGGTTTAAGGCCTATGGTGCCAAAGGAAATACCTTCACATAAAATGCAGACAGAGGCTTTCCGAGAAACTTCTTTGTGATGTGTGCTTTCGTCTCACAGAGTTGTGCCTTTCTTTTGATTGACCAGTTTGGGAACATTCTTTTTGTAGAATCTGCAAATGGATATTTGGAGCAATTTGTGGCCTACGGTGAAAAAGGAAATATCTTCACAGAAAAACTAGACAGGCAGACTCCTGAGAAACTTCTTTTTGATGAGTGCATTCATTTCACATAGTTGAAACATGCCATAGGGGCCAGTTTGGAAACAGTCTTTTGGTAGAGTCTGCAGACAGATATTTTTGAGTGGCTTAAAGACTATGGTGAAAAAGGAAACATCTTCACATAGCAACCAGACAGAAGCAACCTGAGAAACTTCTTTGGGATGTGTTCATTCATCTCACAATGTTGAACGTTTCTTTTGATTGAGAAGTTTGTAAAGAGAACTTTTGTAGAATCCGCAAAGAGATATGTGTGAGTCCCTTGATTCCTATGGCAAAATAGGAATTATCTTGAGATAAAAGCGAGACAGAAGATTTCTGAGAAACTTTTTTGTGATGTGTGCTTTCATCTCACAGAGTTGAAAATTTCTTTTGATTGAGTAGTTTGGAAACAGTCTTTTCGTATCATCTGCAAACGGATGTTTGGAGCGCTTTGTGGCCTAAGGTGAAAATGGAAACATCTTCACATAAAAACTAGACAGAAGAATTCTGAGGAACCTCTTTATGATGTGTGCATTCATCTCAGATGGGTGAAATTTTCTTTTGATGGAGCAGTTTGGAAACAGTCTTTTTCTAGTATCTGCAGAAGGATATTTGTGAGCGGTGTAAGGCCTATGGTGAAAAAGGAAATATCTTCACATAAAAACCAGACAGAAGCCTTCTGAGGAACTTCTTTGTGATGTGTGCGTTCATCTCACCGTGTTGAAACTTTATTTTATTTGAGCAGTTTAGAGACAGTGTTTCTCTGCAATCTGCAAAGGTCTAACTCTGAGCCCTTTGAGGTCTATGGTGAAAAAGAAATGTCTTCACATTTAAACTAGACAGAAGCATTCTGAGGAACTTCGTTGTGATGCCTCCATTCATCTGACAGAGTTGAAGCTTTCTTCTAATTCAGCACTTTGGAAGGCATATTTTTGTAGAATCTGCAAAGGGATATTTTTTAGACTTTTGAAGCCTATAGTGAAATAGTAAATATCTTCCCATGAAAACTAGACAGGAGAATTCTGAGAAACTTCATTCTGACGTGGGCATTAACCTCAGAGAATTTAACCTTCCTTTTGATTGAGAAGTATGGAAACGGTCGTCTTTTAGAATCTGGAAAGGGATATTTCTTAGCCCTTTGAGGCCTACGGTGAAACTGGAAATATCTTCACATGAAAAGTAGACCGAAAGCTTTCGGAGAAACTTCTTTGAGATGTGTGCTTTCACCTCACAGAGTTAAACACTTTCTTTTGATGGAGCAGTTTGGAAACACTCTTTCTGTGACATCTGTAAATGGATATTAGGAGTGCTTTGAGGCCAATGGTGACAAAGGAAGTATCTTCACATAAAAACTACACAGAAGTTTTCTGAGAAACTACTTTTTGATGTGTCCACTAATCGAACAGAGTTAAAACTTTCTTTTTATTGAGCAGTTTGGATACAGTGTTTTCGGAGAATCTGCAAAAAACATTTGTGAGCCCTTTATTGCCTATGGTGAAATAGGAATCTTCTTCACATGTAAACTAGACAGAAGCTTTCTGAGGAACGTCTTCGTGACGTGTGCATTCGTCTCACATAGTTGAAACTTTCTTTGGATTGAGCAGTTTTGAAACAGTCCTTTTGTAGGATCTGCAAGGGGATATTTCTGAGCCCATTGAGTACTGTGATGCAATGTGAAGTATCTTCACATAAAAACTAGACAGACGCTTTCTAAGAAACTTCGTTGTGATGTGTGCTTTCATCGCACAGAATTGAAGCTATCCTTTGATTGAGGAGTTTGGAAACACTCTTTTTCTAGAATCTGCAAATGGATATTTGGAGAGCTTTTGAGGCCCGTGGTGAAAAACGAAATATCTTCACGTAAAAACTAAACAGAAGCTTTCTGAGAAACTCCCTTGCGATGTGTGCATTCACCTCACCGAGTGGAAACTTTCTTTTGATTGAGCAGATTGGAAAGAGGCTTATCGTACAACCTGCAAAGGGAGAATTCTGATCCGTTTGAGGCTTATGGTGAAAGAGAAATATCTTCCCATCAAAACTAGACGGAAGGATTCCAAGAAATTTTTTGTGATGTGTCCGTTTACGTCACAGAGTTGAACCTCTCCTTCTATTGGGCAGTTTGGGAACAGTCTTTTTGTAGAACCTGCAGAGGGATATTTGTGAGCCCTTTATGGCCTGTGGTGAAATACGAAGTATCTTCACCTAAAAACTAGACAGAAGGTTTCTGAGAAACTTCTTGGTGATGTGTGCCTTCATCTCACAGTGTTGAACCTTTCTTTTGATGGAGCAGTTTGGAAAGTCTTTCTGTAGAATCTGCAAATGGATATTTGGAGATATTTGAGGCCCGTGGTGAAAAAGGAAGTATCTTCACCTAAAAACCAGACAGGAGATTTCTGAAAAACCTCTTTGTGATGTGTGAATTCATGTCACAGAATTCAACCTTCCTTTCAGTTGAGCAGTTTGGAACCAGTCTTTTGTGGAAGCTGCAGAGGGAAATTTCTTAGCTGCTTGAGGCCTATGGTGAACAAGAAATAGCCTCACATAAAAAGTAGACAGAAGCTTTCTGAGAAACTTCTTCGTGATGTGTCCATTCATCTCACAGAGTTAAACCTTTCTTTTGGTTGAGGAGTTTGGAAAACGTCTTTTCTTAGAATCTGCGAAGGGATATTTGTGAGCCCTTTATGGCCTTTGTTGAAATATGAAATATCTTCACATAAAAAGTAGACAGAAGCTTTCTGACAAATTTCCTTGGTGATGTGCACGTTTGTCACACGGAATTGAACCCTTCTTCTGATTGAGCAGTTTGGAATCAGTCTTTTTGTAGAATCTGTGAATGTGTATTGAGAGAGTTTTAAGGCCTAGGGTGCCAAAGGCAATGTCTTCACATAAAAACGACACAGTAGCTTTTTGAGAAAACTCTTAGTGACATTTCCATTCATCTCTAATAGTTGGCCGTTTCCTTTCATTGAGCAGTTTGGAAGCAGTCTTTTTCTACAAACTGCAAAGGGATATTTCTGAGCGGTTTGGGGCCAACGGTGAAAAATAAATATCTTCCCATGAAAACTAGACAGAAGCATTTTGAGAAACTTCTTTTTGATGTGTGTATTCATCTCACAGAGTTGAACCTTTCTTTAGATTTAGCAATTTGGAGAAAGTCTCTTGGTAGTATAAGTGGAGTTATATTTGCGAGCGGTTTAAGTCCTACGGTGCCAAAGGAAATACCTTCACATAAAATGCAGACAGAGGCTTTCCGAGAAACTTCTTTGTGATGTGTGCTTTCGTCTCACACAGTTGCGCCTTTCTGTTGATTGACCAGTTTGGGAACATTCTTTTTGTAGAATCTGCAAATGGATATTTGGAGCAATTTGTGGCCTACGGGGAAAAAGGAAATATCTTCACATAAAAACTAGACAGGAGAATCCTGAGAAACTTCTTTTTGATGAGTGCATTCATTTCACATAGTTGAAACATGCTATATGGGCCAGTTTGGAAACAGTCTTTTTGTAGAGTCTGCAGACAGGTATGTTTGAGTGGCTTAAAGACCACGGTGAAAAAGGAAACATCTTCACATAGCAACCAGACAGAAGCAACCTGAGAAACTTCTTTGGGATGTGTTCATTCATCTCACAATGTTGAACGTTTCTTTTGATTGAGAAGTTTGTAAAGAGAACTTTTGTAGAATCCGCAAAGGGATATGTGTGAGCCCCTTGATTCCTATGGCAAAATAGGAATTATCTTGAGATAAAAGCGAGACAGAAGATTTCTGAGAAACTTTTTTGTGATGTGTGCTCTCATCTCACAGAGTTGAAAATTTCTTTTGATTGAGCAGTTTGGAAACAGTCCTTTCGTATCATCTGCAAACGGATGTTTGGAGCGCTTTGTGGCCTAAGGTGAAAATGGAAACATCTTCACATAAAAACTAGACAGAAGAATTCTGAGGAACTTCTGTATGATGTGTGCATTCATCTCAGATAGGTGAAATTTTCTTTTGATGGAGCAGTTTGGAAACAGTCTTTTTATAGTATCTGCAGAAGGATATTCGTGAGCGGTGTAAGGCCTATGGTGAAAAAGGAAATATCTTCATATTAAAACCAGACAGAAAGCTTTCTGAGGAACTTCTTTGTGATGTGTGCATTCATCTCACCGTGTTGAAACTTTATTTTATTTGAGCAGTTTAGAGACAGTCTTTCTCTGCAATCTGCAAAGGTCTAATTCTGAGCCCTTTGAGGTCTATGGTGAAAAAGAAATATCTTCACATTTAAACTAGACAGAAGCATTCTGAGGAACTTCTTTGTGATGTCTCCATTCATCTGACAGAGTTGAAGGTTTCTTTTAATTCAGCACTTTGGAAGGCATATTTTTGTAGAATCTGCAAAGGGATATTTTTGAGACATTTGAAGCCTATAGTGAAATAGTAAATATCTTCACATGAAAACTAGACAGGAGAGTTCTGAGAAACTTCATTCTGATGTGTGCATTAACCTCACAGAATTTAACCTTTCTTTTGATTGAGAAGTATGGAAATGGTGGTCTTTTAGAATCTGGAAAGGGATATTTCTTAGCCCTTTGAGGCCTATGGTGAGACTGGAAATATCATCACATGAAAACTAGACCGAAGCTTTCGGACAAACTTCTTTGAGATGTGTGCTTTCACCTCACAGAGTTAAACACTTTCTTTTGATTGAGCAGTTTGGAAACACTCTTTCTGTGACATCTGTAAATGGATATTAGGAGTGCTTTGAGGCCAATGGTGACAAAGGAAGTATCTTCACATAAAAAGTACACAGAAGTTTTCTGAGAAACTACTTTTTGATGTGTCCATTAACCTAACAGAGTTAAAACTTTCTTTTTATTGAGCAGTTTGGGTACAGTCTTTTTGTAGAATCTGCAAAACATATTTGTGAGCCCTTTATTGCCTATGGTGGAATAGGAATCTTCTTCACATATAAACTAGACAGAAGCATTCTGAGGAAGGTCGTCGTGACGTGTGCATTCGTCTCACATAGTTGAAGCTTTCTTTGGATTGAGCAGTTTTGAAACAGTCCTTCTGTAGGATCTGCAAGGGGATATTTCTGAGCCCATTGAGTACTGTGATGCAATGTGAAGTATCTTCACATAAAAACTAGACAGACGCTTTCTAAGAAACTTCGTTGTGATGTGTGCTTTCGTCTCACAGAATTGAAACTATCCTTTGATTGAGGAGTTTGGAAACACTCTTTTTCTAGAGTCTGCAAATGGATATTTGGAGAGCTTTTGAGGTCCGTGGTGAAAAACGAAATATCTTCACGTAAAAACTAAACAGAAGCTTCCTGAGAAACTCCCTTGCGAAGTGTGTGCATTCACCTCACCGAGTGGAAACTTTCTTTTGATTGAGCAGATTGGAAAGAGGCTTATTGTACAATCTGCAAAGGGAGAATTCTGATCCGTTTGAGGCTTCTGGTGAAAGAGAAATATCTTCCCATAAGAACTAGACGGAAGCATTCCAAGAAATTGTTTGTGATGTGTCCATTCACGTCACAGAGTTGAACCTCTCCTTTGATTGATCAGTTTGGAAACAGTCTTTTTGTAGAACCTGCAGAGGGATATTTGTGAGCCCTTTAAGGCCTGTGGTGAAATACGAAGTATCTTCACCTAAAAACTAGACAGAAGGTTTCTGAGAAACTTCTTGGTGATGTGTGCCTTCATCTCACAGTGTTGAACCTTTCTTTTCATTGAGCAGTTTGCAAAGTCTTTCTGTAGAATCTGCAAATGGATATTTGGAGATATTTGAGGCCCGTGGTGAAAAAGGAAGTATCTTCACCTAAAAACCAGACAGAAGATTTCTGAAAAACCTCTTTGTGATGTGTGAATTCATGTCACAGAATTCAACCTTTCTTTCAGTTGAGCATTTTGGAAACAGTCTTTGGTAGAAGCTGCAGAGGGAAATTTCTTAGCTGCTTGAGGCCTATGGTGAAAAAGAAATATCTTCACAGAAAAACTAGACAGAAGCTTTCTGAGAAACTTCTTCGTGATGTGTCCATTCATCTCACAGAGTTAAACCTTTCTTTTGATTGAGGAGTTTGGAAAACGTCTTTTCTTAGAATCTGCGAAGGGATATTTGTGAGCCCTTTATGGCCTTTGTTGCAATATGAAATATCTTCACATAAAAAGTAGACAGAAGCTTTCTGACAAATTTCTTGGTGATGTGCACGTTTGTCACACGGAATTGAACCCTTCTTCTGATTGAGCAGTTTGGATTCAGTCTTTTTGTAGAATCTGTGAATGTGTATTTAGAGAGTTTTAAGGCCTAGGGTGCAAAAGGCAATGTCTTCACATAAAAACGACACAGTAGCTTTTTGAGGAAACTCTTTGTGACATTTCCATTCATCTCTAATAGTTGGCCATTTCCTTTCATTGAGCAGTTTGGAAGCAGTCTTTTTCTACAAACTGCAAAGGGATATTTCTGAGCGGTTTGGGGCCAACGGTGAAAAATAAATATCTTCCCATGAAAACTAGACAGAAGCATTTTGAGAAACTTCTTTTTGATGTGTGTATTCATCTCACAGAGTTGAACCTTTCTTTAGATTTAGCAATTTGGAGAAAGTCTCTTGGTAGTATAAGTGGAGTTATATTTGCGAGCGGTTTAAGGCCTATGGTGCCAAAGGAAATACCTTCACATAAAATGCAGACAGAGGCTTTCCGAGAAACTTCTTTGTGATGTGTGCTTTCGTCTCACAGAGTTGCGCCTTTCTTTTGATTGACCAGTTTGGGAACATTCTTTTTGTAGAATCTGCAAATGGATATTTGGAGCAATTTGTGGCCTACGGTGAAAAAGGAAATATCTTCACATGAAAACTAGACAGGAGAATCCTGAGAAACTTCTTTTTGATGAGTGCATTCATTTCACATAGTTGAAACATGCTATATGGGCCAGTTTGGAAACAGTCTTTTGGTAGAGTCTGCAGACAGATATTTTTGAGGGGCTTAGAGACTATGGTGAAAAAGGAAACATCTTCACATAGCAACCAGACAGAAGCAACCTGAGAAATGTCTTTGGGATGTGTTCATTCATCTCACAATGTTGAACGTTTCTCTTGATTGAGAAGTTTGTAAGGAGAACATTTGTAGAATCTGCAAAGGGGTATATGTGAGCCCCTTGATTCCTATGGCAAAATAGGAATCATCTTGAGATAAAAGCGAGACAGAAGATTTCTGAGAAACTTTTTTGTGATGTGTGCTTTCATCTCACAGAGTTGAAAATTTCTTTTGATTGAGCAGTTTGGAAACAGTCTTTTCGTATCATCTGCAAACGGATGTTTGGAGCGCTTTGTGGCCTAAGGTGAAAATGGAAACATCTTCACATAAAAACTAGACAGAAGAATTCTGAGGAACTTCTTTATGATGTGTGCATTCATCTCACATGGGTGAAATTTTCTTTTGATGGAGCAGTTTGGAAACAGTCTTTTTCTAGTATCTGCAGAAGGATATTTGTGAGCGGTGTAAGGCCTATGGTGAAAAAGGAAATATCTTCACATAAAAACCAGACAGAAGCTTTCTGAGGAACTTCTTTGTGATGTGTGCATTCATCTCACCGTGTTGAAACTTTAAGTTATTTGAGCAGTTTAGAGACAGTCTTTCTCTGCAATCTGCAAAGGTCTAACTCTGAGCCCTTTAAGGTCTATGGTGAAAAAGAAATGTCTTCACATTTAAACTAGACAGAAGCATTCTGAGGAACTTCTTTGTGATGTCTCCATTCATCTGACAGAGTTGAAGGTTTCTTTTAATTCAGCACTTTGGAAAGCATATTTTTGTAGAATCTGCAAAGGGATATTTTTGAGACATTTGAAGCCTATAGTGAAATAGTAAATATCTTCACATGAAAACTAGACAGGAGAATTCTGAGAAACTTCATTCTAATGTGTGCATTCACCTCACAGAATTTAACCTTTATTTTGATTGAGCAGTATGGAAATGGTCCTCTTTTAGAATCTGCAAAGGGATATTTCTTAGCCCTTTGAGGCCTATGGTGAAACTGGAAATATCTTCACATGAAAACTAGACCGAAGCTTTCTGAGAAATTTCTTTGAAATGTGTGCTTTCATCTCACAGAGTTAAAACTTTCTTTTGATTGAGCAGTTTAGAAACACTCTTTTTGTGAAATCTGTAAATGGATATTAGGAGCACTTTGAGGCCAATGGTGACAAAGGATATATCTTCATGTAAAAACTAAACAGAAGTTTTCTGAGAAACTACTTTTTGATGTGTCCATTAATCTAACAGAGTTGAAACTTTCTTTTTATTTAACAGTTTGGATATAGTATTTTTGTAGAATCTGCCAAAAATATTTGTGAGCCCTTTATTGCCTATGGTGAAATAGGAATTTTCTTCACATATAAACTAGACAGAAGCATTCTGAGGAACGTCTTCGTGACGTGTGCATTCATCTCACATAGTTGAAACTTTCTTTGGATTGAGCAGTTTTGAAACAGTCCTTTTGTGGGATCTGCAAGGGGATATTTCTGAGCCCATTGAGTACTGTGATGCAATGTGAAGTATCTTCACATAAAAACTACACAGACGCTTTCTAAGAAACTTCGTTGTGATGTGTGCTTTCATCTCACAGAATTGAAACTATCCTTTGATGGAGGAGTTTGGAAACACTCTTTTTCTAGAATCTGCAAAGGGATATTTGGAGAGCTTTTCAGGCCCGTGGTGAACAACGAAATATCTTCACGTAAAAACTAAACAGAAGCTTTCTGAGAAACTCCCTTGCGATGTGTGCATTCACCTCAGCGAGTGGAAACTTTCTTTTGATTGAGCAGATTGGAAAGAGGCTTATCGTACAATCTGCAAAGGGAGAATTCTGATCCGTTTGAGGCTTATGGTGAAAGAGAAATATCTTCCCATGAGAACTAGACGGAAGCTTTCTGAGAAACTTCTTCATGATGTGTCCATTCATCTCACAGAGTTAAACCTTTCTTTTGATTGAGGAGTTTGGCAAACGTCTTTTCTTAGAATCTGCGAAGGGATATTTGTGAGCCCTTTATGGCCTTTGTTGAAATATGAAATATCTTCACATAAAAAGTAGACAGAAGATTTCTGAGAAAATTCTTTCTGATGTGTGCTTTCATCTCACAGTGTTGAACCTTTCTTTTGATTGAGCAGTTTGGAAAGTCTGTTTGTCGAATCTGCAAATGGATATTTGGAACTATTTGAGGCCCATGGTGAAAAAGAAAGTATCTTCACATAAAAACTAGACAGAAGATTTCTGAGAAACTTCTTTGTGTTGTGTAAATTCATGTCACAGAATTCAACCTTTCTTTCGATTGAGCAGTTTGGAAACAGTATTTTGTAGAAGCTGCAAAGGGAAATTTCTTAGCCGTTTGAGTCCTATAGTGAAAAAGAAATATCTTCACATAAAAACTAGACAGAAGCTTTCTGAGAAACTTCTTCGTGATGTGTCCATTCATCTCACAGTGTTAAACCTTTCTTTTGAGTGAGGAGTTTGGAAAACGTCTTTTCTTAGAATCTGCGAAGGGATATTTGTGAGCCCTTTAAGGCCTTTGTTGAAATATGAAATATCTTCACATAAAAAGTAGACAGAAGCTTTCTGACAAATTTCTTTGTGATGTGCAAGTTTGTCACACGGAATTGAACCCTTATTCTGATTGAGCAGTTTGGAATCAGTCTTTTTGTAGAATCTGTGAATGTGTATTTAGGGAGTTTTAAGGCCTAGGGTGCAAAAGGCAATGTCTTCACATAAAAACGACACAGTAGCTTTTCGAGAAAACTCTTTGCGACATTTCCATTCATCTCTAATAGTTGACCATTTCCTTTCATTCAGCAGCTTGGAAGCAGTCTTTTTCTACAAACTGCAAAGGGATATTTCTGAGCGGTTTGGGGCCAATGGTGAAAAATAAATATCTTCCCATGAAAACTAGACAGAAGCATTTTGAGAAACTTCTTTTGATGTGTGTATTCATCTCACAGAGTTGAACCTTTCTTTTGATTTAGCAATTTGGAGAAAGTCTCTTGGTAGTATAAGTGGAGTTATATTTGCGAGCGGTTTAAGGCCTATGGTGCCAAAGGAAATACCTTCACATAAAATGTAGACAGAGGCTTTCCGAGAAACTTCTTTGTGATGTGTGCTTTCGTCTCACAGAGTTGCGCCTTTCTTTTGATTGACCAGTTTGGGAACATTCTTTTTGTAGAATCTGCAAATGGATATTTGGAGCAATTTGTGGCCTATGGTGAAAAAGGAAATATCTTCACATAAAAACTAGACAGGAGAATCCTGAGAAACTTCTTTTTGATGAGTGCATTCATTTCACATAGTTGAAACATGCTATGTGGGCCAGTTTGGAAACAGTCTTTTGGTAGAGTCTGCAGACAGATATTTTTGAGTGGCTTAAAGACTATGGTGAAAAAGGAAACATCTTCACATAGCAACCAGACAGAAGCAACCTGAGAAACGTGTTTGGGATGTGTTCATTCATCTCACAATGTTGAACGTTTCTTTTGATTGAGAAGTTTGTAAGGAGAACTTTTGTAGCATCTGCAAAGGGGTATATGTGAGCCCCTTGATTCTTATGGCAAAATAGGAATTATCTTGAGATAAAAGCGAGACAGAAGATTTCTGAGAAACTTTTTTGTGATGTGTGCTTTCATCTCACAGAGTTGAAAATTTCTTTTGATTGAGCAGTTTGGAAACAGTCTTTTCGTATCATCTGCAAATGGATGTTTGGGGCGCTTTGTGGCCTAAGGTGAAAATGGAAACACCTTCACATAAAAACTAGACAGAAGAATTCTGAGGAACTTCTTTATGATGTGTGCATTCATCTCAGATAGGTGAAATTTTCTTTTGATGGAGCAGTTTGGAAACCGTCTTTTTATAGTATCTGCAGAAGGATACTTGTGAGCGGTGTAAGGCCTATGGTGAAAAAGGAAATATCTTCACATAAAAACCAGACAGAAGCTTTCTGAGAAACTTCTTTGTGATGTGTGCATTCATCTCACAGTGTTGAAACTTTATTTTATTTGAGCAGTTTAGAGACAGTCTATTTCTGCAATCTGCAAAGGCATATTTCTGAGCCATTTGAGGTCTGTGGTGAAAGAGAAATATCTTCACATTTAAACTAGACAGAAGCATTCCGAGGAACTTCTTTGTGATGTCTCTATTCATCTGACAGATTTGAAGGTTTCTTTTAATTCAGCACTGTGGAAACCATATTTTTGTAGAATCTGCAAAGGGATATTTTTGAGACCTTTGAAGCCTATAGTGAAATAGTAAATATCTTCACATAGAAACTAGACAGGAGAATTCTGAGAAACTTCATTCTGATGTGTGCATTAACCTCACAGAATTTAACGTTTCTTTTGATTGAGAAGTATGGAAATGGTGGTCTTTTAGAACCTGGAAAGGGATATTTCTTAGCCCTTTGAGGCCTATGGTGAGACTGGAAATATCATCACATGAAAACTAGTCCGAAGCTTTCTGAGAAACTTCTTGGAGATGTGTGCTTTCACCTCACAGAGTTAAACACTTTCTTTTGATTGAGCTGTTTGGAAACACTCTTTTTGTGAAATCTGTAAATGGATATTAGGAGTGCTTTGAGGCCAATGGTGACAAAGGAAATATCTTCACATAAAAACTAAACAGAAGTTTTCTGAGAAACTACTTTTTGATATGTCCATTAACCTAACAGAGTTAAAACCTTCTTTTTATTGAGCAGTTTGGATACAGTCCTTTTGTACAATCTGCAAAACATATTTGTGAGCCCTTTATTGCCTATGGTGAAATAGGAATCTTCTTCACATATAAACTAGACAGAAGCATTCTGAGGAACTTCTTCGTGACGTGTGCATTCGTCTCACATAGTTGAAGCTTTCTTTGGATTGAGCAGTTCTGAAACAGTCCTTTTGTAGGATCTGCAAGGGGATATTTCTGAGCCCATTGAGTACTGTGATGCAATGTGAAGTATCTTCACATAAAAACTAGACAGACGCTTTCTAAGAAACTTCGTTGTGATGTGTGCTTTCATCTCACAGAATTGAAACTATCCTTTGATTGAGGAGTTTGGAAACACTCTTTTTCTAGAATCTGCAAATGGATATTTGGAGAGCTTTTGAGGCCCGTGGTGAAAAACGAAATATCTTCACGTAAAAACTAAACAGAAGCTTCCTGAGAAACTCCCTTGCGATGTGTGCATTCACCTCACCGAGTGGAAACTTTCTTTTGATTGAGCAGATTGGAAAGAGGCTTATTGTACAATCTGCAAAGGGAGAATTCTGATCCGTTTGAGGCTTCTGGTGAAAGAGAAATATCTTCCCATAAGAACTAGACGGAAGCATTCCAAGAAATTGTTTGTGATGTGTCCATTCACGTCACAGAGTTGAACCTCTCCTTTGATTGATCAGTTTGGAAACAGTCTTTTTGTAGAACCTGCAGAGGGATATTTGTGAGCCCTTTAAGGCCTGTGGTGAAATACAAAGTATCTTCACCTAAAAACTAGACAGAAGGTTTCTGAGAAACTTCTTGGTGATGTGTGCCTTCATCTTACCGTGTTGAACCTTTCTTTTGATTGAGCAGTTTGGAAAGTCTTTCTGTAGAATCTGCAAATGGATATTTGGAGATATTTGAGGCCCGTGGTGAAAAAGGAAGTATCGTCACCTAAAAACCAGACAGAAGATTTCTGAAAAACCTCTTTGTGATGTGTGAATTCATGTCACAGAATTCAACCTTTCTTTCAGTTGAGCAGTTTGGAAACAGTCTTTGGTAGAAGCTGCAGAGGGCAATTTCTTAGCTGCTTGAGGCCTATGGTGAAAAAGAAATATCTTCACAGAAAAACTAGACAGAAGCTTTCTAAGAAACTTCTTTGTGATGTGTCCATTCATCTCACAGAGTTAAACCTTTCTTTTGATTGAGGAGTTTGGAAAATGTCTTTTCTTAGAATCTACAAAGGGATATTTGTGAGCCCTTTATGGCCTATGTTGAAATATGAAATATCTTCACATAAAAACTAGACAGAAGCTTTCTGACAAATTCCTTGGTGATGTGCACGTTTGCCACACGGAATTGAACCCTTCTTCTGATTGAGCAGTTTGGAATCAGTCCTTTTGTAGAATCTGTGAATGTGTACTGAGAGAGTTTTAAGGCCTAGGGTGCCAAAGGCAATGTCTTCACATAAAAACGACACAGTAGCTTTTTGAGAAAACTCTTTGTGACATTTCCATTCATCTCTAATAGTTGGCCATTTCCTTACATTGAGCAGTTTGGAAGCAGTCTTTTTCTACAAACTGCAAAGGGATATTTCTGAGCGGTTTGGGGCCAACGGTGAAAAATAAATATCTTCCCATGAAAACTAGACGGAAGCATTTTGAGAAACTTCTTTTTGATGTGTGTATTCATCTCACAGGGTTGAAACTTTCTTTTGATTTAGCAATTTGGAGAAAGTCTCTTGGTAGTATAAGTGGAGTCATATTTGCGAGCGGTTTAAGGCCTATGGTGCCAAAGGAAATACCTTCACATAAAATGTAGACAGAGGCTTTCCGAGAAACTTCTTTGTGATGTGTGCTTTCGTCTCACAGAGTTGCGCCTTTCTGTTGATTGACCAGTTTGGGAACATTCTTTTTGTAGAATCTGCAAATGGATATTTGGAGCAATTTGTGGCCTACGGTGAAAAAGGAAATATCTTCACATAAAAACTAGACAGGAGACTCCTGAAAAACTACTTTTTGATGAGTGCATTCGTTTCACATAGTTGAAACATGCCATATGGGCCAGTTTGGAAAGAGTCTTTTTGTAGAGTCTGCAGACAGATATTTTTGAGTGGCTTAAAGGCTATGGTGAAAAAGGAAACATCTTCACATAGCAACCAGACAGAAGCAACTTGAGAAATGTCTTTGGGATGTGTTCATTCATCTCACAATGTTGAACGTTTCTCTTGATTGAGAAGTTTGTAAGGAGAACATTTGTAGAATCTGCAAAGGGGTATATGTGAGCCCCTTGATTCCTATGGCAAAATAGGAATCATCTTGAGATAAAAGCGAGACAGAAGATTTCTGAGAAACTTTTTAGTGATGTGTGCTTTCATCTCACAGAGTTGAAAATTTCTCTTGATTGAGCAGTTTGGAAACAGTCTCTTCGTATCATCTGCAAACGGATGTTTGGGGCGCTTTGTGGCCTAAGGTGAAAATGGAAACATCTTCACATAAAAACTAGACAGAAGAATTCTGAGGAACTTCTGTATGATGTGTGCATTCATCTCAGATAGGTGAAATTTTCTTTTGATGGAGCAGTTTGGAAACAGTCTTTTTATAGTATCTGCAGAAGGATATTTGTGAGCGGTGTAAGGCCTATGGTGAAAAAGGAAATATCTTCACATAAAAACCAGACAGAAGCTTTCTGAGGAACTTCTTTGTGATGTGTGCATTCATCTCACCGTGTTGAAACTTTATGTTATTTGAGCAGTTTAGAGACAGTCTTTCTCTGCAATCTGCCAAGGTCCAACTCTGAGCCCTTTGAGGTCTATGGTGAAAAAGAAATGTCTTCACATTTCAACTAGACAGAAGCATTCCGAGGAACTTCTTTGTGATGTCCCCATTCATCTGACAGAGTTGAAGGTTTCTTTTAATTCAGCACTGTGGAAACCATATTTTTGTAGAATCTGCAAAGGGATATTTTTGAGACCTTTGAAGCCTATAGTGAAATAGTAAATATCTTCACATAGAAACTAGACAGGGAGAATTCTGAGAAACTTCATTCTGATGTGTGCATTCACCTCACAGAATTTAACCTTTCTTTTGATTGAGCAGTATGGAAATGTTCGTCTTTTAGAATTTGGAAAGGGATATTTCTTAGCCCTTTGAGGCCTATGGTGAAACTGGAAATATCTTCACATGAAAACTAGACCAAAGCTTTCTGAGAAAGTTCTTTGAGATGTGTGCTTTCATCTCACAGAGTTAAAACTTTCTTTTGATTGAGCAGTTTGGAAACACTCTTTTTGTGATATCTGTAAATGGATATTAGGAGTGCTTTGAGGCCAATGGTGACAAAGGAAATATCCTCACATAAAAACTAAACAGAAGTTTTCTTGAGAAACTACTTTTTGATGTGTCCATTAACCTAACAGAGTTAAAACTTTCTTTTTATTGAGCAGTTTGGGTACAGTCTTTTTGTAGAATCTGCAAAACATATTTGTGAGCCCTTTATTGCCTATGGTGGAATAGGAATCTTCTTCACATATAAACTAGACAGAAGCATTCTGAGGCACTTCTTCGTGACGTGTGCATTCGTCTCACATAGTTGAAACTTTCTTTGGATTGAGCAGTTTTGAAACAGTCCTTTTGTAGGATCTGCAAGGGGATATTTCTGAGCCCCTTGTGTACTGTGATGCAATGTGAAGTATCTTCACATAAAAACTTCACAGAAGCTTTCTAAGAAACTTCGTTGTGATGTGTGCTTTCATCTCACAGAATTGAAACTATCCTTTGATTGAGGAGTTTGGAAACACTCTTTTTCTAGAATCTGCAAATGGATATTTGGAGAGCTTTTGAGGCCAGTGGTGAAAAACGAAATATCTTCACGTAAAAACTAAACAGAAGCTTTCTGAGAAACTCCCTTGCGATGTGTGCATTCACCTCACCGAGTGGAAACTTTCTTTTGATTGAGCAGATTGGAAAGAGGCTTATCGTACAATCTGCAAAGGGAGAATTCTGATCCGTTTGAGGCTTATGGTGAAAGAGAAATATCTTCCCATAAGAACTAGACGGAAGCATTCCAAGAAATTTTTTGTGATGTGTCCATTTACGTCACAGAGTTGAACCTCTCCTTTGATTGGGCAGTTTGGGAACAGTCTTTTTGTAGAACCTGCAGAGGGATATTTGTGAGCCCTTTATGGCCTGTGGTGAAATACGAAGTATCTTCACCTAAAAACTAGACAGAAGGTTTCTGAGAAACTTCTTGGTGATGTGTGCCTTCATCTCACAGTGTTGAACCCTTCTTTTGATTGAGCAGTTTGCAAAGTCTTTCTGTAGAATCTGCAAATGGATATTTGGAGATATTTGAGGCCCGTGGTGAAAAAGGAAGTATCTTCACCTAAAAACCAGACAGAAGATTTCTGAAAAACCTCTTTGTGATGTGTGAATTTATGTCACAGAATTCAACCTTTCTTTCAGTTGAGCAGTTTGGAAACAGTCTTTGGTAGAAGCTGCAGAGGGAAATTTCTTAGCTGCTTGAGGCCTATGGTGAAAAAGAAATATCTTCACAGAAAAACTAGACAGAAGCTTTCTGAGAAACTTCTTTGTGATGTGTCCATTCATCACACAGAGTGAAACCTTTCTTTTGATTGAGGAGTTTGGAAAATGTCTTTCCTTAGAATCTGCAAAGGGATATTTGTGAGCCCTTTATGGCCTTTGTTGAAATATGAAATATCTTCACATAAAAAGTAGACAGAAGCTTTCTGACAAATTCCTTGGTGATGTGCACGTTTGTCACACGGAATTGAACCCTTCTTCTGATTGAGCAGTTTGGAATCAGTCTTTTTGTAGAATCTGTGAATGTGTATTGAGAGAGTTTTAAGGCCTAGGGTGCCAAAGGCAATGTCTTCACATAAAAACGACACAGTAGCTTTTTGAGAAAACTCTTTGTGACATTTCCATTCATCTCTAATAGTTGACCATTTCCTTTCATTGAGCAGTTTGGAAGCAGTCTTTTTCTACAAACTGCAAAGGGATATTTCGGAGCGGTTTGGGGCCAACGGTGAAAAATAAATATCTTCCCATGAAAACTAGACAGAGAAGCATTTTGAGAAACTTCTTTTTGATGTGTGTATTCATCTCACAGAGTTGAACCTTTCTTTTGATTTAGCAATCTGGAGAATGTCTCTAGGTAGTATAAGTGGAGTTATGTTTGCGAGCGGTTTAAGTCCTATGGTGCCAAAGGAAATACCTTCACATAAAATGTAGACAGAAGCTTTCCGGGAAACTTCTTTGTGATGTGTGCTTTCGTCTCACAGAGTTGCGCCTTTCTTTTGATTGACCAGTTTGGGAACATTCTTTTTGTAGAATCTGCAAATGGATATTTGGAGCAATTTGTGGCCTACAGTGAAAAAGGAAATATCTTCACATAAAAACTAGACAGGAGAATCCTGAGGAACTCCTTTTTGATGAGTGCATTCATTTCACATAGTTGAAACATGCTATATGGGCCAGTTTGGAAACAGTCTTTTTGTAGAGTCTGCAGACAGGTATTTTAGAGTGGCTTAAAGACTATGGTGAAAAAGGAAACATCTTCACATAGCAACCAGACAGAAGCAACCTGAGAAACGTCTTTGGGATGTGTTCATTCATCTCACAATGTTGAACGTTTCTTTTGATTGAGAAGTTTTTAAGGAGAACTTTTGTAGAATCTGCAAAGGGATATATGTGAGCCCCTTGATTCCTATGGCAAAATAGGAATTATCTTGAGATAAAAGCGAGACAGAAGATTTCTGAGCAAACTTCTTTGTGATGTGTGCTTTCATCTCACAGAGTTGAAAATTTCTTTTGATTGAGCAGTTTGGAAACAGTCTTTTTGTATAATCTGCAAATGGATATTTGGAGCACTTTGTGGCCTAAGGTGAAAATGGAAATATCTTCACATAAAAACTAGACAGAAGAATTCTGAGGAACTTCTGTATGATGTGTGCATTCATCTCAGTATAGGTGAAATTTTCTTTTGATGGAGCAGTTTGGAAACAGTCTTTTTATAGTATCTGCAGAAGGATATTCGTGAGCGGTGTAAGGCCTATGGTGAAAAAGGAAATATCTTCACATTAAAACCAGACAGAAGCTTTCTGAGGAACTTCTTTGTGATGTGTGCATTCATCTCACCGTGTTGAAACTTTATGTTATTTGAGCAGTTTAGAGACAGTCTTTCTCTGCAATCTGCAAAGGTCTAACTCTGAGCCCTTTGAGGTCTATGGTGAAAAAGAAATGTCTTCACATTTAAACTAGACAGAAGCATTCTGAGGAACTTCTTTGTGATGTCTCCATTCATCTGAGAGAGTTGAAGGTTTCTTTTAATTCAGCACTTTGGAAAGCATATTTTTGTAGAATCTGCAAAGGGATATTTTTGAGACATTTGAAGCCTATAGTGAAATAGTAAATATCTTCACATGAAAACTAGACAGGAGAATTCTGAGAAACTTCATTCTGATATGTGCATTAACCTCACAGAATGTAACCTTTCTTTTGATTGAGAAGTATGGAAATGGTGGTCTTTTAGAATCTGGAAAGAGATATTTCTTAGCCCTTTGAGGCCTATGGTGAGACTGGAAATATCATCACATGAAAACTAGACCGAAGCTTTCGGAGAAACTTCTTTGAGATGTGTGCTTTCACCTCACAGAGTTAAACACTTTCTTTTAATTGAGCAGTTTGGAAACACTCTTTCTGTGACATCTGTAAATGGATATTAGGAGTGCTTTGAGGCCAATGGTGACAAAGGAAGTATCTTCACATAAAAACTACACAGAAGTTTTCTGAGAAACTACTTTTTGATGTGTCCATTAACCTAACAGAGTTAAAACTTTCTTTTTATTGAGCAGTTTGGATACAGTCCTTTTGTAGAATCTGCAAAACATATTTGTGAGCCCTTTATTGCCTATGGTGAAATAGGAATCTTCTTCACATATAAACTAGACAGAAGCATTCTGAGGAAGGTCTTCGTGACGTGTGCATTCGTGTCACATAGTTGAAGCTTTCTTTGGATTGAGCAGTTTTGAAACAGTCCTTTTCTAGGATCTGCAAGGGGATATTTCTGAGCCCATTGAGTACTGTGATGCAATGTGAAGTATCTTCACATAAAAACTAGACAGACGCTTTCTAAGAAACTTCGTTGTGATGTGTGCTTTCATCTCACAGAATTGAAACTATGCTTTGATTGAGGAGTTTGGAAACACTCTTTTTCTAGAATCTGCAAATGGATATTTGGAGAGCTTTTGAGGCCAGTGGTGAAAAACGAAATATCTTCACGTAAAAACTAAACAGAAGCTTTCTGAGAAACTCCCTTGCGATGTGTGCATTCACCTCACCCAGTGGAAACTTTCTTTTGATTGAGCAGATTGGAAAGAGGCTTATCGTACAATCTGCAAAGGGAGAATTCTGATCCGTTTGAGGCTTATGGTGAAAGAGAAATATCTTCCCATAAAAACTAGACGGAAGCATTCCAAGTAATTTTTTATGATGTGTCCATTCACGTCACAGAGTTGAACCTCTCCTTTGATTGAGCAGTTTGGAAACAGTCTTTTTGTAGAACCTGCAAAGGGATATTTGTGAGCCCTTTATGGCCTGTGGTGAAATACGAAGTATCTTCACCTAAAAACTAGACAGAAGGTTTCTGAGAAACTTCTTGGTGATGGGTGCCTTCATCTCACAGTGTTAAACCTTTCTTTTGATTGAGCAGTTTGCAACGTCTTTCTGTAGAATCTGCAAATGGATATTTGGAGATATTTGAGGCCCGTGGTGAAAAAGGAAGTATCTTCACCTAAAAAACAGACAGAAGATTTCTGAAAAACCTCTTTGTGATGTGTGAATTCATGTCACAGAATTCAACCTTTCTTTCAGGTGAGCAGTTTGGAAACAGTCTTTGGTAGAAGCTGCAGAGGGAAATTTTTTAGCTGCTTGAGGCCTATTGTGGAAAAGAAATATCTTCACAGAAAAACTAGACAGAAGCTTTCTGAGAAACTTCTTCGTGATGTGTCCATTCATCTCACAGAGTTAAACCTTTCTTTTGGTTGAGGAGTTTGGAAAACGTCTTTTCTTAGAATCTGCGAAGGGATATTTGTGAGTCCTTTATGGCCTTTGTTGAAATATGAAATATCTTCACATAAAAAGTAGACAGAAGCTTTCTGACAAATTCCTTGGTGATGTGCACGTTTGCCACACGGAATTGAACCCTTCTTCTGATTGAGCAGTTTGGAATCAGTCTTTTTGTAGAATCTGTGAATGTGTATTTAGAGAGTTTTAAGGCCTAGGGTGCCAAAGGCAATGTCTTCACATAAAAACGACACAGTAGCTTTTTGAGAAAACTCTCTGCGACATTTCCATTCATCTCTGATAGTTGACCATTTCCTTTCATTGAGCAGTTTGGAAGCAGTCTTTTTCTACAAACTGCAAAGGGATATTTCTGAGCGGTTTGGGGCCAACGGTGAAAAATAAATATCTTCCCATGAAAACTAGACAGAAGCATTTTGAGAAACTTCTTTTTGATGTGTGTATTCATCTCACAGAGTTGAACCTTTCTTTTGATTTAGCAATCTGGAGAAAGTCTCTAGGTAGTATAAGTGGAGTTATATTTGCGAGCGGTTTAAGGCCTATGGTGCCAAAGGAAATACCTTCACATAAAATGTAGACAGAGGCTTTCCGAGAAACTTTCTTTGTGATGTGTGCTTTCGTCTCACAGAGTTGCGCCTTTCTTTTGATTGACCAGTTTGGGAACATTCTTTTTGTAGAATCTGCAAATGGATATTTGGAGCAATTTGTGGCCTACGGTGAAAAAGGAAATATCTTCACATAAAAACTAGACAGGAGAATCCTGAGAAACTTCTTTTTGATGAGTGCATTCATTTCACATAGTTGAAACATGCTATATGGGCCAGTTTGGAATCAGTCTTACTGTAGAGTCCGCAGACAGGTATTTTTGAGTGGCTTAAAGACCATGGTGAAAAAGGAAACATCTTCACATAGCAACCAGACAGAAGCAACCTGAGAAACGTCTTTGGGATGTGTTCATTCATCTCACAATGTTGAACGTTTCTCTTGATTGAGAAGTTTGTAAGGAGAACATTTGTAGAATCTGCAAAGGGGTATATGTGAGCCCCTTGATTCCTATGGCAAAATAGGAATCATCTTGAGATAAAAGCGAGACAGAAGATTTCTGAGAAACTTTTTTGTGATGTGTGCTTTCATCTCACAGAGTTGAAAATTTCTCTTGATTGAGCAGTTTGGAAACAGTCTCTTCGTATCATCTGCAAACGGATGTTTGGGGCGCTTTGTGGCCTAAGGTGAAAATGGAAACATCTTCACATAAAAACTAGACAGAAGAATTCTGAGGAACTTCTTTATGATGTGTGCATTCATCTCAGATGGGTGAAATTTTCTTTTGATGGAGCAGTTTGGAAACAGTCTTTTTCTAGTATCTGCAGAAGGATATTTGTGAGCGGTGTAAGGCCTATGGTGAAAAAGGAAATATCTTCACATAAAAACCAGACAGAAGCTTTCTGAGGAACTTCTTTGTGAGGTGTGCATTTATCTCACCGTGTTGAAACTTTATTTTATTTGAGCAGTTTAGAGACAGTCTTTCTCTGCAATCTGCAAAGGTCTAATTCTGAGCCCTTTGAGGTCTATGGTGAAAAAGAAATGTCTTCACATTTAAACTAGACAGAAGCATTCTGAGGAACTTCGTTGTGATGCCTCCATTCATCTGACAGAGTTGAAGGTTTCTTTTAATTCAGCACTTTGGAAAGCATATTTTTGTAGAATCTGCAAAGGGATATTTTTGAGACATTTGAAGCCTATAGTGAAATAGTAAATATCTTCACATGAAAACTAGACAGGAGAATTCTGAGAAACTTCATTCTGATGTGTGCATTAACCTCACAGAATGTAACCTTTCTTTTGATTGAGAAGTATGGAAATGGTGGTCTTTTAGAATCTGGAAAGGGATATTTCTTACCCCTTTGAGGCCTATGGTGAGACTGGAAATATCATCACATGAAAACTAGACCGAAGCTTTCGGAGAAACTCCTTTGAGATGTGTGCTTTCACCTCACAGAGTTAAACACTTTCTTTTGATGGAGCAGTTTGGAAACACTCTTTCTGTGACATCTGTAAATGGATATTAGGAGTGCTTTGAGGCCAATGGTGACAAAGGAAGTATCTTCACAGAAAAACTACACAGAAGTTTTCTGAGAAACTACTTTTTGATGTGTCCATTAACCTAACAGAGTTAAAACTTTCTTTTTATTGAGCAGTTTGGATACAGTCTTTTTGTAGAATCTGCAAAACATATTTGTGAGCCCTTTATTGCCTATGGTGGAATAGGAATCTTCTTCACATATAAACTAGACAGAAGCATTCTGAGGAACTTCTTCGTGACGTGTGCATTCGTCTCACATAGTTGAAACTTTCTTTGGATTGAGCAGTTTTGAAACAGTCCTTTTGTAGGATCTGCAAGGGGATATTTCTGAGCCCATTGAGTACTGTGATGCAATGTGAAGTATCTTCACATAAAAACTGGACAGAAGCTTTCTAAGAAACTTCGTTGTGATGTGTGCTTTCATCTCACAGAATTGAAACTATCCTTTGATTGAGGAGTTTGGAAACACTCTTTTTCTAGGATCTGCAAATGGATATTTGGAGAGCTTTAGAGGCCCGTGGTGAAAAACGAAATATCTTCACGTAAAAACTAAACAGAAGCTTTCTGAGAAACTCCCTTGCGTTGTGTGCATTCACCTCACCGAGAGGAAACTTTCTTTTGATTGAGCAGATTGGAAAGAGGCTTATCGTACAATCTGCAAAGGGAGAATTCTGATCCGTTTGAGGCTTATGGTGAAAGAGAAATATCTTCCCATAAAAACTAGACGGAAGCATTCCAAGAAATTGTTTGTGATGTGTCCATTCACGTCACAGAGTTGAACCTCTCCTTTGATTGAGCAGTTTGGAAACAGTCTTTTTGTAGAACCTGCAAAGGGATATTTGTGAGCCCTTTATGGCCTGTGGTGAAATACGAAGTATCTTCACCTAAAAACTAGACAGAAGGTTTCTGAGAAACTTCTTGGTGATGTGTGCCTTCATCTCACAGTGTTGAACCTTTCTTTTGATTGAGCAGTTTGGAAAGTCTTTCTGTAGAATCTGCAAATGGATATTTGGAGATATTTGAGGCCCGTGGTGAAAAAGGAAGTATCGTCACCTAAAAACCAGACAGAAGATTTCTGAAAAACCTCTTTGTGATGTGTGAATTCATGTCACAGAATTCAACCTTTCTTTCAGTTGAGCAGTTTGGAAACAGTCTTTGGTAGAAGCTGCAGAGGGAAATTTCTTAGCTGCTTGAGGCCTATGGTGAAAAAGAAGTATCTTCACAGAAAAACTAGACAGAAGCTTTCTGAGAAACTTCTTCGTGATGTGTCCATTCATCTCACAGTGTTAAACCTTTCTTTTGAGTGAGGAGTTTGGAAAACGTCTTTTCTTAGAATCTGCGAAGGGATATTTGTGAGCCCTTTATGGCCTTTGTTGAAATATGAAATATCTTCACATAAAAAGTAGACAGAAGCTTTCTGACAAATTTCTTGGTGATGTGCACGTTTGTCACACGGAATTGAACCCTTCTTCTGATTGAGCAGTTTGGAATCAGTCTTTTTGTAGAATCTGTGAATGTGCATTTAGAGAGTTTTAAGGCCTAGTGTGCAAAAGGCAATGTCTTCACATAAAAACGACACAGTGGCTTTTTGAGAAAACTCTTTGTGACATTTCCATTCATCTCTAATAGTTGGCCATTTCCTTACATTGAGCAGTTTGGAAGCAGTCTTTTTCTACAAACTGCAAAGGGATATTTCTGAGCGGTTTGGGGCCAACGGTGAAAAATAAATATCTTCCCATGAAAACTAGACAGAAGCATTTTGAGAAACTTCTTTTTGATGTGTGTATTCATCTTACAGAGTTGAACCTTTCTTTTGATTTAGCAATTTGGAGAAAGTCTCTTGGTAGTATAAGTGGAGTTATATTTGCGAGCGGTTTAAGGCCTATGGTGCCAAAGGAAATACCTTCACATAAAATGCAGACAGAAGCTTTCTGAGAAACTTCTTTGTGATGTGTGCTTTCGTCTCACAGAGTTGAGCCTTTCTGTTGATTGACCAGTTTGGAAACATTCTTTCTGTAGAATCCGCAAATGGATATTTGGAGCAATTTGCGGCCTGCGGTGAAGAAGGAAATATCTTCACATAAAAACTAGACAGAAGAATCCTGAGAAACTTCTTTTTGATGAGTGCATTCATTTCACATAGTTGAAACATGCTATATGGGCCAGTTTGGAAACAGTCTTTTGGTAGAGTCTGCAGACAGATATTTTTGAGGGGCTTAAGGACTATGGTGAAAAAGGAAACATCTTCACATAGCAACCAGACAGAAGCAACCTGAGAAACGTCTTTGGGATGTGTTCATTCACTTCACAATGATGAACGTTTCTTTTGATTGAGAAGTTTGTAAGGATAACTTTTGTAGAATCTGCAAAGGGATATATGTGAGCCCCTTGATTCCTATGGCAAAATAGGAATTATCTTGAGATAAAAGCCAGACAGAAGATTTCTGAGAAACTTTTTTGTGATGTGTACTTTCATCTCACAGAGTTGAAAAATTCTTTTGATTGAGCAGTTTGGAAACAGTCTTTTCGTATCATCTGCAAATGGATGTTTGGGGCGCTTTGTGGCCTAAGGTGAAAATGGAAACACCTTCACATAAAAACTAGACAGAAGAATTCTGAGGAACCTCTTTATGATGTGTGCATTCATCTCAGATGGGTGAAATTTTCTTTTGATGGAGCAGTTTGGAAACAGTCTTTTTCTAGTATCTGCAGAAGGATATTTGTGAGCGGTGTAAGGCCTATGGTGAAAAAGGAAATATCTTCACATAAAAAACAGACAGAAGCTTTCTGAGGAACTTTTTGTGAGGTGTGCATTCATCTCACCGTGTTGAAACTTTATTTTATTTGAGCAGTTTAGAGACAGTCTTTCTCTGCAATCTGCAAAGGTCTAATTCTGAGCCCTTTGAGGTCTATGGTGAAAAAGAAATATCTTCCCATTTAAACTAGACAGAAGCATTCTGAGGAACTTCGTTGTGATGCCTCTCCATTCATCGGACAGAGTTGAAGGTTTCTTTTAATTCAGCACTTTGGAAAGCATATTTTTGTAGAATCTGCAAAGGGATATTTTTGAGACATTTGAAGCCTAGAGTGAAATAGTAAATATCTTCCCATGAAAACTAGACAGGAGAATTCTGAGAAACTTCATTCTGATGTGTGCATTAACCTCACAGAATTTAACCTTTCTTTTGATTGAGAAGTATGGAAATGGTGGTCTTTTAGAACCTGGAAAGGGATATTTCTTAGCCCTTTGAGGCCTATGGTGAGACTGGAAATATCATCACATGAAAACTAGTCCGAAGCTTTCGGAGAAACTTCTTTGAGATGTGTGCTTTCACCTCACAGAGTTAATCACTTTCTTTTGATTGAGCAGTTTGGAAACACTCTTTCTGTGACATCTGTAAATGGATATTAGGAGTGCTTTGAGGCCAATGGTGACAAAGGAAATATCTTCACATAAAAACTACACAGAAGTTTTCTGAGAAACTACTTTTTGATGTGTCCATTAACCTAAAAGAGTTAAAACTTTCTTTTTATTGAGCAGTTTGGATACAGTCCTTTTGTAGAATCTGCAAAACATATTTGTGAGCCCTTTATTGCCTATGGTGAAATAGGAATCTTCTTCACATATAAACTAGACAGAAGCATTCTGAGGAACGTCTTCGTGACGTGTGCATTCATCTCACATAGTTGAAACTTTCTTTGGATTGAGCAGTTTTGAAACAGTCCTTTTGTAGGATCTGCAAGGGGATATTTCTGAGCCCATTGAGTACTGTGATGCAATGTGAAGTATCTTCACATAAAAACTACACAGACGCTTTCTAAGAAACTTCGTTGTGATGTGTGCTTTCATCTCACAGAATTGAAACTATCGTTTGATTGAGGAGTTTGGAAACACTCTTTTTCTAGAATCTGCAAATGGATATTTGGAGAGCTTTTGAGGCCCGTGGTGAAAAACGAAATATCTTCACGTAAAAACTAAACAGAAGCTTTCTGAGAAACTCCCTTGCGATGTGTGCATTCACCTCACCGAGTGGAAACTTTCTTTTGATTGAGCAGATTGGAAAGAGGCTTATCGTACAACCTGCAAAGGGAGAATTCTGATCCGTTTGAGGCTTATGGTGAAAGAGAAATATCTTCCCATAAAAACTAGACGGAAGCATTCCAAGAAATTTTTTGTGATGTGTCCATTCACGTCACAGAGTTGAACCTCTCCTTTGATTGAGCAGTTTGGAAACAGTCTTTTTGTAGAACCTGCAAAGGGATATTTGTGAGCCCTTTATGGCCTGTGGTGAAATACGAAGTATCTTCACCTAAAAACTAGACAGAAGGTTTCTGAGAACCTTCTTGGTGATGTGTGCCTTCATCTCACAGTGTTGAACCTTTCTTTTGATTGAGCAGTTTGCAAAGTCTTTCTGTAGAATCTGCAAATGGATATTTGGAAATATTTGAGGCCCGTGGTGAAAAAGGAAGTATCTTCACCTAAAAACCAGACAGAAGATTTCTGAAAAACCTCTTTGTGATGTGTGAATTCATGTCACAGAATTCAACCTTTCTTTCAGGTGAGCAGTTTGGAAACAGTCTTTGGTAGAAGCTGCAGAGGGAAATTTCTTAGCTGCTTGAGGCCTATGGTGAAAAAGAAATATCTTCACAGAAAAACTAGACAGAAGCTTTCTGAGAAACTTCTTCGTGATGTGTCCATTCATCTCACAGAGTTAAACCTTTCTTTTGATTGAGGAGTTTGGAAAATGTCTTTTCTTAGAATCTGCGAAGGGATATTTGTGAGCCCTTTATGGCCTTTGTTGAAATATGAAATATCTTCACATAAAAAGTAGACAGAAGCTTTCTGACAAATTCCTTGGTGATGTGCACGTTTGTCACACGGAATTGAACCCTTCTTCTGATTGAGCAGTTTGGAATCAGTCTCTTTGTAGAATCTGTGAATGTGTATATAGAGAGTTTTAAGGCCTAGGGTGCCAAAGGCAATGTCTTCACATAAAAACGACACAGTAGCTTTTTGAGAAAACTCTTTGTGACATTTCCATTCATCTCTAATAGTTGACCATTTCCTTTCATTGAGCAGTTTGGAAGCAGTCTTTTTCTACAAACTGCAAAGGGATATTTCGGAGCGGTTTGGGGACAACGGTGAAAAATAAATATCTTCCCATGAAAACTAGACAGAAGCATTTTGAGAAACTTCTTTTTGATGTGTGTATTCATCTCACAGAGTTGAACCTTTCTTTTGATTTAGCAATTTGGAGAAAGTCTCTTGGTAGTATAAGTGGAGTCATATTTGTGAGCGGTTTAAGGCCTATGGTGCCAAAGGAAATACCTTTACATAAAATGTAGACAGAAGCTTTCCGAGAAACTCCTTTGTGATGTGTGCTTTCGTCTCACAGGGTTGCGCCTTTCTTTTGATTGACCAGTTTGGGAACATTCTTTTTGTAGAATCTGCAAATGGATATTTGGAGCAATTTGTGGCCTACGGTGAAAAAGGAAATATCTTCACATAAAAACTAGACCGGAGAATCCTGAGAAACTTCTTTTTGATGAGTGCATTCATTTCACATAGTTGAAACATGCTATGTGGGCCAGTTTGGAAACAGTCTTTTGGTAGAGTCTGCAGACAGATATTTTTGAGTGGCTTAAAGACTATGGTGAAAAAGGAAACATCTTCACATAGCAACCTGACAGAAGCAACTTGAGAAACGTCTTTGGGATGTGTTCATTCATCTCACAATGTTGAACGTTTCTCTTGATTGAGAAGTTTGTAAGGAGAACATTTGTAGAATCTGCAAAGGGGTATATGTGAGCCCCTTGATTCCTATGGCAAAATAGGAATCATCTTGAGATAAAAGCGAGACAGAAGATTTCTGAGAAACTTTTCGTGATGTGTGCTTTCATCTCACAGAGTTGAAAATTTCTTTTGATTGAGCAGTTTGGAAACAGTCTTTTCGTATCATCTGCAAACGGATGTTTGGAGCGCTTTGTGGCCTAAGGTGAAAATGGAAACATCTTCACATAAAAACTAGACAGAAGAATTCTGAGGAACTTCTGTATGATGTGTGCATTCATCTCAGATAGGTGAAATTTTCTTTTGATGGAGCAGTTTGGAAACAGTCTTTTTATAGTATCTGCAGAAGGATATTCGTGAGCGGTGTAAGGCCTATGGTGAAAAAGGAAATATCTTCACATTAAAACCAGACAGAAGCTTTCTGAGGAACTTCTTTGTGATGTGTGCATTCATCTCACCGTGTTGAAACTTTATTTTATTTGAGCAGTTTAGAGACAGTCTTTCTCTGCAATCTGCAAAGGTCTAATTCTGAGCCCTTTGAGGTCTATGGTGAAAAAGAAATATCTTCACATTTAAACTAGACAGAAGCATTCTGAGGAACTTCGTTGTGATGCCTCCATTCATCTGACAGAGTTGAAGGTTTCTTCTAATTCAGCACTTTGGAAAGCATATTTTTGTAGAATCTGCAAAGGGATATTTTTTAGACTTTTGAAGCCTATAGTGAAATAGTAAATATCTTCCCATGAAAACTAGACAGGAGAATTCTGAGAAACTTCATTCTGACGTGGGCATTAACCTCAGAGAATTTAACCTTTCTTTTGATTGAGAAGTATGGAAACGGTCGTCTTTTAGAATCTGGAAAGGGATATTTCTTAGCCCTTTGAGGCCTACGGTGAAACTGGAAATATCTTCACATGAAAAGTAGACCGAAGCTTTCGGACAAACTTCTTTGAGATGTGTGCTTTCACCTCACAGAGTTAAACACTTTCTTTTGATTGAGCAGTTTGGAAACACTCTTTCTGTGACATCTGTAAATGGATATTAGGAGTGCTTTGAGGCCAATGGTGACAAAGGAAGTATCTTCACATAAAAACTACACAGAAGTTTTCTGAGAAACTACTTGTTGATGTGTCCATTGATGTAACAGAGTTAAAACTTTCTTTTTATTGAGCAGTTTGGATACAGTCTTTTTGTAGAATCTGCAAAAATATTTGTGAGCCCTTTATTGCCTATGGTGAAATAGGAATCTTCTTCACATGTAAACAAGACAGAAGCATTCTGAGGAAGGTCTTCATGACGTGTGCATTCGTGTCACATAGTTGAAGCTTTCTTTGGATTGAGCAGTTTTGAAACAGTCCTTTTGTAGGATCTGCAAGGGGATATTTCTGAGCCCATTGAGTACTGTGATGCAATGTGAAGTATCTTCACATAAAAACTAGACAGATGCTTTCTAAGAAACTTCGTTGTGATGTGTGCTTTCATCGCACAGAATTGAAGCTATCCTTTGATTGAGGCGATTGGAAACACTCTTTTTCTAGAATCTGCAAATGGATATTTGGAGAGCTTTTGAGGCCCGTGGTGAAAAACGAAATATCTTCACGTAAAAACTAAACAGAAGCTTTCTGAGAAACTCCCTTGCGATGTGTGCATTCACCTCACCGAGTGGAAACTTTCTTTTGATTGAGCAGATTGGAAAGAGGCTTATCGTACAATCTGCAGAGGGAGAATTCTGATCCGTTTGAGGCTTATGGTGAAAGAGAAATATCTTCCCATAAGAACTAGACGGAAGCATTCTAAGAAATTTTTTGTGATGTGTCCATTCACGTCACAGAGTTGAACCTCTCCTTTGATTGGGCAGTTTGGAAACAGTCTTTTTGTAGAACCTGCAAAGGGATATTTGTGAGCCCTTTATGGCCTGTGGTGAAATACGAAGTATCTTCACCTAAAAACTAGACAGAAGGTTTCTGAGAAACTTCTTGGTGATGTGTGCCTTCATCTCACAGTGTTGAACCTTTCTTTTGATTGAGCAGTTTGGAAAGTCTTTCTGTAGAATCTGCAAATGGATATTTGGAGATATTTGAGGCCCGTGCTGAAAAAGGAAGTATCGTCACCTAAAAACCAGACAGAAGATTTCTGGAAAACCTCTTTGTGATGTGTGAATTCATGTCACAGAATTCAACCTTTCTTTCAGTTGAGCAGTTTGGAAACAGTCTTTGGTAGAAGCTGCAGAGGGAAATTTCTTAGCTGCTTGAGGCCTATGGTGAAAAAGAAATATCTTCACAGAAAAACTAGACAGAAGCTTTCTGAGAAACTTCTTCATGATGTGTCCATTCATCACACAGAGTTAAACCTTTCTTTTGATTGAGGAGTTTGGAAAACGTCTTTTCTTAGAATCTGCGAAAGGATATTTGTGAGCCCTTTATGGCCTTTGTTGAAATATGAAATATCTTCACATAAAAAGTAGACAGAAGCTTTCTGACAAATTCCTTGGTGATGTGCACGTTTGTCACACGGAATTGAACCCTTCTTCTGATTGAGCAGTTTGGAATCAGTCTTTTTGTAGAATCTGTGAATGTGTATTTAGAGAGTTTTAAGGCCTAGGGTGCCAAAGGCAATGTCTTCACATAAAAACGACACAGTAGCTTTTTGAGAAAACTCTTTGTGACATTTCCATTCATCTCTAATAGTTGGCCATTTCCTTTCATTGAGCAGTTTGGAAGCAGTCTTTTTCTACAAACTGCAAAGGGATATTTCTGAGCGGTTTGGGGCCAACGGTGAAAAATAAACATCTTCCCATGAAAACTAGACAGAAGCATTTTGAGAAACTTCTTTTTGATGTGTGTATTCATCTCACAGAGTTGAACCTTTCTTTTGATTTAGCAATTTGGAGAAAGTCTCTTGGTAGTATAAGTGGAGTCATATTTGCGAGCGGTTTAAGGCCTATGGTGCCAAAGGAAATACCTTCACATAAAATGCAGACAGAAGCTTTCCGAGAAACTTCTTTGTGATGTGTGCTTTCGTCTCACAGAGTTGCGCCTTTCTTTTCATTGACCAGTTTGGGAACATTCTTTTCGTACAATCTGCAAATGGATATTTGGAGCAATTTGTGGCCTTCGGTGAAAAAGGAAATATCTTCACATGAAAACTAGACAGGGAGACTCCTGAGAAACTTCTTTTTGATGAGTGCATTCATTTCACATAGTTGAAACATGCCATATGGGCCAGTTTGGAAACAGTCTTTTTGTAGAGTCTGCAGACAGATATTTTTGAGTGGCTTAAAGACTATGGTGAAAAAGGAAACATCTTCACATAGCAACCAGACAGAAGCAACCTGAGAAACGTCTTTGGGATGTGTTCATTCATCTCACAATGTTGAACGTTTCTTTTGATTGAGAAGTTTGTAAGGAGAACATTTGTAGAATCTGCAAAGGGGTATATGTGAGCCCCTTGTTTCCTATGGCAAAATAGGAATTATCTTGAGATAAAAGCGAGACAGAAGATTTCTGAGAAACTTTTTTGTGATGTGTGCTTTCATCTCACAGAGTTGAAAATTTCTCTTGATTGAGCAGTTTGGAAACAGTCTTTTCGTATCATCTGCAAACGGATGTTTGGGGCGCTTTGTGGCCTAAGGTGAAAATGGAAACATCTTCACATAAAAACTAGACAGAAGAATTCTGAGGAACTTCTTTATGATGTGTGCATTCATCTCAGATAGGTGAAATTTTCTTTTGATGGAGCAGTTTGGAAACCGTCTTTTTATAGTATCTGCAGAAGGATATTTGTGAGCGGTGTAAGGCCTATGGTGAAAAAGGAAATATCTTCACATAAAAACCAGACAGAAGCTTTCTGAGGAACTTCTTTGTGATGTGTGCATTCATCTCACCGTGTTGAAACTTTATTTTATTTGAGCAGTTTAGAGACAGTCTTTCTCTGCAATCTGCAAAGGTCTAATTCTGAGCCCTTTGAGGTCTATGGTGAAAAAGAAATGTCTTCACATTTCAACTAGACAGAAGCATTCTGAGGATCTTCGTTGTGATGCCTCTCCATTCATCTGACAGAGTTGAAGGGTTCTTTTAATTCAGCACTTTGGAAAGCATATTTTTGTAGAATCTGCAAAGGGATATTTTTGAGACATTTGAAGCCTATAGTGAAATAGTAAATATCTTCACATGGAAACTAGACAGGAGAATTCTGAGAAACTTCCTTCTGATGTGTGCATTAACCTCACAGAATTTAACCTTTCTTTTGATTGAGAAGTATGGAAATGGTGGTCTTTTAGAACCTGGAAAGGGATATTTCTTAGCCCTTTGAGGCCTATGGTGAGACTGGAAATACCATCACATGAAAACTAGTCCGAAGCTTTCGGAGAAACTTCTTTGAGATGTGTGCTTTCACCTCACAGAGTAAAACACTATCTTTTGATTGAGCAGTTTGGAAACACTCTTTCTGTGACATCTGTAAATGGATATTAGGAGTGCTTTGAGGCCAATGGTGACAAAGGAAGTATCTTCACATAAAAACTACACAGAAGTTTTCTGAGAAACTACTTGTTGATGTGTCCATTGATGTAACAGAGTTAAAACTTTCTTTTTATTGAGCAGTTTGGATACAGTCTTTTTGTAGAATCTGCAAAAAATATTTGTGAGCCCTTTATTGCCTATGGTGAAATAGGAATCTTCTTCACATGTAAACAAGACAGAAGCATTCTGAGGAACTTCTTCGTGACGTGTGCATTCATCTCACATAGTTGAAACTTTCTTTGGATTGAGCAGTTTTGAAACAGTCCTTTTGTAGGATCTGCAAGGGGATATTTCTGAGCCCATTGAGTACTGTGATGCAATGTGAAGTATCTTCACATAAAAACTAGACAGACGCTTTCTAAGAAACTTCGTTGTGATGTGTGCTTTCATCTCACAGAATTGAAACTATCCTTTGATTGAGGAGTTTGGAAACACTCTTTTTCTAGAATCTGCAAATGGATATTTGGAGAGCTTTTGAGGCCCGTGGTGAAAAGCGAAATATCTTCACGTAAAAACTAAACAGAAGCTTTCTGAGAAACTCCCTTGTGATGTGTGCATTCACCTAACCGAGTGGAAACTTTCTCTTGATTGAGCAGATTGGAAAGAGGCTTATTGTACAATCTGCAAAGGGAGAATTCTGATCCGTTTGAGGCTTATGGTGAAAGAGAAATATCTTCCCATAAGAACTAGACGGAAGCATTCCAAGAAATTGTTTGTGATGTGTCCATTCACGTCACAGAGTTGAACCTCTCCTTTGATTGATCAGTTTGGAAACAGTCTTTTTGTAGAACCTGCAGAGGGATATTTGTGAGCCCTTTATGGCCTGTGGTGAAATACGAAGTATCTTCACCTAAAAACTAGACAGAAGGTTTCTGAGAAACTTCTTGGTGATGTGTGCCTTCATCTCACAGTGTTGAACCTTTCTTTTGATTGAGCAGTTTGGAAAGTCTCTCTGTAGAATCTGCAAATGGATATTTGGAGATATTTGAGGCCCGTGCTGAAAAAGGAAGTATCGTCACCTAAAAACCAGACAGAAGATTTCTGAAAAACCTCTTTGTGATGTGTGAATTCATGTCACAGAATTCAACCTTTCTTTCAGGTGAGCAGTTTGGAAACAGTCTTTGGTAGAAGCTGCAGAGGGAAATTTCTTAGCTGCTTGAGGCCTATGGTGAAAAAGAAATATCTTCAAAGAAAAACTAGACAGAAGCTTTCTGAGAAACTTCTTCGTGATGTGTCCATTCATCTCACAGAGTTAAACCTTTCTTTTGATTGAGGAGTTTGCAAAACGTCTTTTCTTAGAATCTGCGAAGGGATATTTGTGAGCCCTTTTTGGCCTTTGTTGAAATATGAAATATCTTCACATAAAAAGTAGACAGAAGCTTTCTGACAAATTTCTTGGTGATGTGCACGTTTGTCACACGGAATTGAACCCTTCTTCTGATTGAGCAGTTTGGAATCAGTCTTTTTGTAGAATCTGTGAATGTGCATTTAGAGAGTTTTAAGGCCTAGGGTGCCAAAGGCAATGTCTTCACATGAAAACGACACAGTAGCTTTTTGAGAAAACTGTTTGTGACATTTCCATTCATCTCTAATAGTTGACCATTTCCTTTCATTGAGCAGTTTGGAAGCAGTCTTTTTCTACAAACTGCAAAGGGATATTTCTGAGCGGTTTGGGGCCAACGGTGAAAAATAAATATCTTCCCATGAAAACTAGACAGAAGCATTTTGAGGAACTTCTTTTTGATGTGTGTATTCATCTCACAGAGTTGAACCTTTCTTTTGATTTAGCAATCTGGAGAAAGTCTCTAGGTAGTATAAGTGGAGTTATATTTGCGAGCGGTTTAAGGCCTATGGTGCCAAAGGAAATACCTTCACATAAAATGTAGACAGAAGCTTTCCGGGAAACTTCTTTGTGATGTGTGCTTTCATCTCACAGAGTTGCGCCTTTCTTTTGATTGACCAGTTTGGGAACATTCTTTTTGTAGAATCTGCAAATGGATATTTGGAGCAATTTGTGGCCTACGGTGAAAAAGGAAATATCTTCACATAAAAACTAGACAGGAGAATCCTGAGAACCTTCTTTTTGATGAGTGCATTCATTTCACATCGTTGAAACATGCTATATGGGCCAGTTTGGAAACAGTCTTTTTGTGGAGTCTGCAGACAGATATTTTTGAGTGGCTAAAAGACTATGGTGAAAAAGGAAACATCTTCACATAGCAACCAGACAGAAGCAACCCTGAGAAACTTCTTTGGGATGTGTTCATTCATCTCCCAATGTTGAACGTTTCTTTTGATTGAGAAGTTTGTAAAGAGAACTTTTGTAGAATCCGCAAAGGGATATATGTGAGCCCCTTGATTCCTATGGCAAAATAGGAATTATCTTGAGATAAAAGCGAGACAGAAGGTTTCTGAGAAACTTTTTTGTGATGTGTGCTTTCATCTCACAGAGTTGAAAATTTCTTTTGATTGAGCAGTTTGGAAACAGTCTTTTCGTATCATCTGCAAATGGATGTTTGGGGCGCTTTGTGGCCTAAGGTGAAAATGGAAACACCTTCACATAAAAACTAGACAGAAGAATTCTGAGGAACTTCTTTATGATGTGTGCATTCATCTCAGATAGGTGAAATTTTCTTTTGATGGAGCAGTTTGGAAACCGTCTTTTTATAGTATCTGCAGAAGGATATTCGTGAGCGGTGTAAGGCCTATGGTGAAAAAGGAAATATCTTCACATAAAAACCAGACAGAAGCCTTCTGAGGAACTTCTTTGTGATGTGTGCGTTCATCTCACCGTGTTGAAACTTTATTTTATTTGAGCAGTTTAGAGACAGTCTTTCTCTGCAATCTGCAAAGGTCTAACTCTGAGCCCTTTGAGGTCTATGGTGAAAAAGAAATGTCTTCACATTTAAACTAGACAGAAGCATTCTGAGGAACTTCTTCGTGATGTCTCCATTCACCTGACAGAGTTGAAGGTTTCTTTTAATTCAGCACTTTGGAAAGCATATTTTTGTAGAATCTGCAAAGGGATATTTTTGAGATATTTGAAGCCTATAGTGAAATAGTAAATATCTTCACATGAAAACTAGACAGGAGAATTCTGAGAAACTTCATTCTGACGTGGACATTAACCTCAGAGTATTTAACCTTTCTTTTGATTGAGAAGTATGGAAACGGTCGTCTTTTAGAATCTGGAAAGGGATATTTCTTAGCCCTTTGAGGCCTACGGTGAAACTGGAAATATCTTCACATGAAAAGTAGACCGAAGCTTTCGGAGAAACTTCTTTGAGATGTGTGCTTTCACCTCACAGAGTTAAACACTTTCTTTTGATTGAGCAGTTTGGAAACACTCTTTCTGTGACATCTGTAAATGGATATTAGGAGTGCTTTGAGGCCAATGGTGACAAAGGAAGTATCTTCACATAAAAAGTACACAGAAGTTTTCTGAGAAACTACTTGTTGATGTGTCCATTAATGTAACAGAGTTAAAACTTTCTTTTTATTGAGCAGTTTGGATACAGTATTTTTGGAGAATCTCACAAAAAATATTTGTGAGCCCTTTATTGCCTATGGTGAAATAGGAATCTTCTTCACATGTAAACAAGACAGAAGCATTCTGAGGAACGTCTTCGTGACGTGTGCATTCATCTCACATAGTTGAAACTTTCTTTGGATTGAGCAGTTTTGAATCAGTCCTTTTGTAGGATCTGCAAGGGGATATTTCTGAGCCCATTGAGTACTGTGATGCAATGTGAAGTATCTTCACATAAAAACTACACAGAAGCTTTCTAAGAAACTTCGTTGTGATGTGTGCTTTCATCTCACAGAATTGAAACTATCCTTTGATTGAGGAGTTTGGAAACACTCTTTTTCTAGAATCTGCAAATGGATATTTGGAGAGCTTTAGAGGCCCGTGGTGAAAAACGAAATATCTTCACGTAAAAACTAAACAGAAGCTTTGTGAGAAACTCCCTTGCGATGTGTGCATTCACCTCACCGAGTGGAAACTTTCTTTTGATTGAGCAGATTGGAAAGAGGCTTATCGTACAATCTGCAAAGGGAGAATTCTGATCCGTTTGAGGCTTATGGTGAAAGAGAAATATCTTCCCATAAGAACTAGACGGAAGCATTCCAAGAAATTGTTTGTGATGTGTCCATTCACGTCACAGAGTTGAACCTCTCCTTTGATTGATCAGTTTGGAAACAGTCTTTTTGTAGAACCTGCAAAGGGATATTTGTGAGCCCTTTATGGCCTGTGGTGAAATACGAAGTATCTTCACCTAAAAACTAGACAGAAGATTTCTGAGAAACTTCTTGGTGATGTGTGCCTTCATCTCACAGTGTTGAACCTTTCTTTTGATTGAGCAGTTTGGAAAGTCTTTCTGTAGAATCTGCAAATGGATATTTGGAGATATTTGAGGCCCGTGGTGAAAAAGGAAGTATCTTCACCTAAAAACCAGACAGGAGATTTCTGAAAAACCTCTTTGTGATGTGTGAATTCATGTCACAGAATTCAACCTTTCTTTCAGTTGAGCAGTTTGGAAACAGTCTTTGGTAGAAGCTGCAGAGGGAAATTTCTTAGCTGCTTGAGGCCTATGGTGAAAAAGAAATATCTTCACAGAAAAACTAGACAGAAGCTTTCTGAGAAACTTCTTCGTGATGTGTCCATTCATCTCACAGTGTTAAACCTTTCTTTTGATTGAGGAGTTTGGCAAACGTCTTTTCTTAGAATCTGCGAAGGGATATTTGTGAGCCCTTTATGGCCTTTGTTGAAATATGAAATATCTTCACATAAAAAGTAGACAGAAGCTTTCTGACAAATTCCTTGGTGATGTGCACGTTTGCCACACGGAATTGAACCCTTCTTCTGATTGAGCAGTTTGGAATCAGTCTTTTTGTAGAATCTGTGAATGTGTATTGAGAGAGTTTTAAGGCCTAGGGTGCCAAAGGCAATGTCTTCACATAAAAACGACACAGTAGCTTTTTGAGAAAACTCTTTGTGACATTTCCATTCATCTCTAATAGTTGGCCATTTCCTTTCATTGAGCAGTTTGGAAGCAGTCTTTTTCTACAAACTGCAAAGGGATATTTCTGAGCGGTTTGGGGCCAACGGTGAAAAATAAATATCTTCCCATGAAAACTAGACAGAAGCATTTTGAGAAACTTCTTTTTGATGTGTGTATTCATCTCACAGAGTTGAACCTTTCTTTTGATTTAGCAATCTGGAGAAAGTCTCTAGGTCGTTTAATTGGAGTTATATTTGCGAGCGGTTTAAGGCCTATGGTGCCAAAGGAAATACGTTCACATAAAATGTAGACAGAAGCTTTCCGAGAAACTCCTTTGTGATGTGTGCTTTCGTCTCACAGAGTTGCGCCTTTCTTTTGATTGACCAGTTTGGGAACATTCTTTTTGTAGAATCTGCAAATGGATATTTGGAGCAATTTGTGGCCTACGGTGAAAAAGGAAATATCTTCACATAAAAACTAGACAGGAGAATCCTGAGAAACTTCTTTTTGATGAGTGCATTCATTTCACATAGTTGAAACATGCTATATGGGCCAGTTTGGAAACAGTCTTTTGGTAGAGTCTGCAGACAGATATTTTTGAGTGGCTTAAAGACTATGGTGAAAAAGGAAACATCTTCACATAGCAACCAGACAGAAGCAACCTGAGAAACTTCTTTGGGATGTGTTCATTCATCTCCCAATGTTGAACGTTTCTTTTGATTGAGAAGTTTGTAAAGAGAACTTTTGTAGAATCCGCAAAGGGATATATGTGAGCCCCCTGATTCCTATGGCAAAATAGGAATTATCTTGAGATAAAAGCGAGACAGAAGATTTCTGAGAAACTTTTTTGTGATGTGTGCTTTCATCTCACAGAGTTGAAAATTTCTTTTGATTGAGCAGTTTGGAAACAGTCTTTTCGTATCATCTGCAAACGGATGTTTGGAACGCTTTGTGGCCTAAGGTGAAAATGGAAACATTCTTCACATAAAAACTAGACAGAAGAATTCTGAGGAACTTCTTTATGATGTGTGCATTCATCTCAGATGGGTGAAATTTTCTTTTGATGGAGCAGTTTGGAAACCGTCTTTTTCTAGTATCTGCAAAAGGATATTTGTGAGCGGTGTAAGGCCTATGGTGGAAAAGGAAATATCTTCACATAAAAACCAGACAGAAGCTTTCTGAGGAACTTCTTTGTGAGGTGTGCATTCATCTCACCGTGTTGAAACTTTATTTTATTTGAGCAGTTTAGAGACAGTCTTTCTCTGCAATCTGCAAAGGTCTAATTCTGAGCCCTTTGAGGTCTATGGTGAAAAAGAAATGTCTTCACATTTCAACTAGACAGAAGCATTCTGAGGAACTTCTTTGTGATGTCTCCATTCATCTGACAGAGTTGAAGGTTTCTTTTAATTCAGCACTTTGGAAAGCATATTTTTGTAGAATCTGCAAAGGGATATTTTTGAGACATTTGAAGCCTATAGTGAAATAGTAAATATCTTCCCATGAAAACTAGACAGGAGAATTCTGAGAAACTTCATTCTGATGTGTGCATTAACCTCACAGAATTTAACCTTTCCTTTGATTGAGAAGTATGGAAATGGTGGTCTTTTAGAATCTGGAAATGGATATTTCTTAGCCCTTTGAGGCCTATGGTGAGACTGGAAATATCATCACATGAAAACTAGACCGAAGCTTTCGGAGAAACTTCTTTGAGATGTGTGCTTTCACCTCACAGAGTTAAACACTTTCTTTTGATTGAGCAGTTTGGAAACACTCTTTCTGTGACATCTGTAAATGGATATTAGGAGTGCTTTGAGGCCAATGGTGACAAAGGAAGTATCTTCACATAAAAACTACACAGAAGTTTTCTGAGAAACTACCTTTCGATGTGTCCATTAATCAAACAGAGTTAAAACTTTATTTTTATTGAGCAGTTTGGATACAGTCTTTTTGTAGAATCTGCAAAACATATTTGTGAGCCCTTTATTGCCTATGGTGGAATAGGAATCTTCTTCACATATAAACTAGACAGAAGCATTCTGAGGCACTTCTTCGTGACGTGTGCATTCGTCTCACATAGTTGAAACTTTCTTTGGATTGAGCAGTTTTGAAACAGTCCTTTTGTAGGATCTGCAAGGGGATATTTCTGAGCCCCTTGAGTACTGTGATGCAATGTGAAGTATCTTCACATAAAAACTTCACAGAGGCTTTCTAAGAAACTTCGTTGTGATGTCTGCTTTCCTCTCACAGAATTGAAACTATCCTTTGATTGAGGAGTTTGGAAACACTCTTTTTCTAGAATCTGCAAATGGATATTTGGAGAGCTTTTGAGGCCCGTGGTGAAAAACGAAATACCTTCACGTAAAAACTAAACAGAAGCTTTCTGAGAAACTCCCTTGCGATGTGTGCATTCACCTCACCGAGTGGAAACTTTCTTTTGATTGAGCAGATTGGAAAGAGGCTTATTGTACAATCTGCAAAGGGAGAATTCTGATCCGTTTGAGGCTTATGGTGAAAGAGAAATATCTTCCCATAAGAACTAGACGGAAGCATTCCAAGAAATTTTTTATGATGTGTCCATTCACGTCACAGAGTTGAACCTCTCCTTTGATTGAGCAGTTTGGAAACAGTCTTTTTGTAGAACCTGCAAAGGGATATTTGTGAGCCCTTTATGGCCTGTGGTGAAATACGAAGTATCTTCACCTAAAAACTAGACAGAAAGTTTCTGAGAAATTTCTTGGTGATGTGTGCCTTCATCTCACAGTGTTGAACCTTTCTTTTGATTGAGCAGTTTGGAAAGTCTTTCTGTAGAATCTGCAAATGGATATTTGGAGATATTTGAGGCCCGTGCTGAAAAAGGAAGTATCGCCACCTAAAAACCAGACAGAAGATTTCTGAAAAACCTCTTTGTGATGTGTGAATTCATGTCACAGAATTCAACCTTTCTTTCAGGTGAGCAGTTTGGAAACAGTCTTTGGTAGAAGCTGCAGAGAGAAATTTCTTAGCTGCTTGAGGCCTATGGTGAAAAAGAAATATCGTCACAGAAAAACTAGACAGAAGCTTTCTGAGAAACTTCTTCGTGATGTGTCCATTCATCTCACAGAGTTAAAACTTTCTTTTGATTGAGGAGTTTGGAAAACGTCTTTTCTTAGAATCTGCGAAGGGATATTTGTGAGCCCTTTATGGCCTTTGTTGAAATATGAAATATCTTCACATAAAAAGTAGACAGAAGCTTTCTGACAAATTTCTTGGTGATGTGCACGTTTGTCACACGGAATTGAACCCTTCTTCTGATTGAGCAGTTTGGAATCAGTCTTTTTGTAGAATCTGTGAATGTGCATTTAGAGAGTTTTAAGGCCTAGGGTGCAAAAGGCAATGTCTTCACATAAAAACGACACAGTAGATTTTCGAGAAAACTCTTTGTGACATTTCCATTCATCTCTAATAGTTGACCATTTCCTTTCATTGAGCAGTTTGGGAGCAGTCTTTTCCTACAAACTGCAAAGGGATATTTCTGAGCGGTTTGGGGCCAACGGTGAAAAATAAATATCTTCCCATGAAAACTAGACAGAAGCATTTTGAGAAACTTCTTTTTGATGTGTGTATTCATCTCACAGAGTTGAACCTTTCTTTTGATTTAGCAATCTGGAGAAAGTCTCTAGGTCGTTTAATTGGAGTTATATTTGTGAGCGGTTTAAGGCCTATGGTGCCAAAGGAAATACGTTCACATAAAATGTAGACAGAAGCTTTCCGGGAAACTTCTTTGTGATGTGTGCTTTCGTCTCACAGAGTTGCGCCTTTCTTTTGATTGACCAGTTTGGGAACATTCTTTTTGTAGAATCTGCAAATGGATATTTGGAGCAATTTGTGGCCTACGGTGAAAAAGGAAATATCTTCACATAAAAACTAGACAGGAGAATCCTGAGAAACTTCTTTTTGATGAGTGCATTCATTTCACATAGTTGAAACATGCTATATGGGCCAGTTTGGAAACGGTCTTTTGGTAGAGTCTGCAGACAGATATTTTTGAGTGGCTTAAAGACTATGGTGAAAAAGGAAACATCTTCACATAGCAACCAGACAGAAGCAACCTGAGAAACGTCTTTGGGATGTGTTCATTCATCTCACAATGTTGAACGTTGCTCTTGATTGAGAAGTTTGTAAGGAGAACATTTGTAGAATCTGCAAAGGGATATATGTGAGCCCCTTGATTTCCTATGGCAAAATAGGAATCATCTTGAGATAAAAGCGAGATAGAAGATTTCTGAGAAACTTTTTCGTGATGTGTGCTTTCATCTCACAGAGTTGAAAATTTCTTTTCACTGAGCAGTTTGGAAACAGTCTTTTCGTATCATCTGCAAACGGATGTTTGGAGCGCTTTGTGGCCTAAGGTGAAAATGGAAACATCTTCACATAAAAACTAGACAGAAGAATTCTGAGGAACTTCTTTATGATGTGTGCATTCATCTCAGATAGGTGAAATTTTCTTTTGATGGAGCAGTTTGGAAACAGTCTTTTTCTAGTATCTGCAGAAGGATATTTGTGAGCGGTGTAAGGCCTATGGTGAAAAAGGAAATATCTTCACATAAAAACCAGACAGAAGCTTTCTGAGGAACTTCTTTGTGAGGTGTGCATTCATCTCACCGTGTTGAAACTTTATTTTATTTGAGCAGTTTAGAGACAGTCTTTCTCTGCAATCTGCAAAGGTCTAATTCTGAGCCCTTTGAGGTCTATGGTGAAAAAGAAATATCTTCCCATTTAAACTAGACAGAAGCATTCTGAGGAACTTCTTTGTGATGTCTCCATTCATCTGACAGAGTTGAAGGTTTCTTTTAATTCAGCACTTTGGAAAGCATATTTTTGTAGAATCTGCAAAAGGATATTTTTGAGACATTTGAAGCCTATAGTGAAATAGTAAATATCTTCACATGAAAACTAGACAGGAGAATTCTGAGAAACTTCATTCTGATGTGTGCATTAACCTCACAGAATTTAACCTTTCTTTTGATTGAGAAGTATGGAAATGGTGGTCTTTTAGAATCTGGAAAGGGATATTTCTTAGCCCTTTGAGGCCTATGGTGAGACTGGAAATATCATCACATGAAAACTAGACCGAAGCTTTCGGAGAAACTTCTTTGAGATGTGTGCTTTCACCTCACAGAGTTAAACACTTTCTTTTGATGGAGCAGTTTGGAAACACTCTTTCTGTGACATCTGTAAATGGATATTAGGAGTGCTTTGAGGCCAATGGTGACAAAGGAAGTATCTTCACATAAAAACTACACAGAAGTTTTCTGAGAAACTACTTTTTGATGTGTCCATTAACCTAACAGAGTTAAAACTTTCTTTTTATTGAGCAGTTTGGGTACAGTCTTTTTGTAGAATCTGCAAAACATATTTGTGAGCCCTTTATTGCCTATGGTGGAATAGGAATCTTCTTCACATATAAAGTAGACAGAAGCATTCTGAGGAACGTCTTCGTGACGTGCGCATTCATCTCACATAGTTGAAACTTTCTTTGGATTGAGCAGTTTTGAAACAGTCCTTTTGTAGGATCTGCAAGGGGATATTTCTGAGCCCATTGAGTACTGTGATGCAATGTGAAGTATCTTCACATAAAAACTACACAGAAGCTTTCTAAGAAACTTCGTTGTGATGTGTGCTTTCATCTCACAGAATTGAAACTATCCTTTGATTGAGGAGTTTGGAAACACTCTTTTTCTAGAATCTGCAAATGGATATTTGGAGAGCTTTTGAGGCCCGTGGTGAAAAACGAAATATCTTCACGTAAAAACTAAACAGAAGCTTTCTGAGAAACTCCCTTGCGATGTGTGCATTCACCTCACCGAGTGGAAACTTTCTTTTGATTGAGCAGATTGGAAAGAGGCTTATCGTACAATCTGCAAAGGGAGAATTCTGATCCGTTTGAGGCTTATGGTGAAAGAGAAATATCTTCCCATAAAAACTAGACGGAAGCATTCCAAGAAATTGTTTGTGATGTGTCCATTCACGTCACAGAGTTGAACCTCTCCTTTGATTGAGCCGTTTGGAAACAGTCTTTTTGTAGAACCTGCAAAGGGATATTTGTGAGCCCTTTATGGCCTGTGGTGAAATACGAAGTATCTTCACCTAAAAACTAGACAGAAGGTTTCTGAGAAACTTCTTGGTGATGTGTGCCTTCATCTCACAGTGTTGAACCTTCTTTTGATTGAGCAGTTTGGAAAGTCTTTCTGTAGAATCTGCAAATGGATATTTGGAGATATTTGAGGCCCGTGGTGAAAAAGGAGGTATCGTCACCTAAAAACCAGACAGAAGATTTCTTAAAAACCTCTTTGTGATGTGTGAATTCATGTCACAGAATTCAACCTTTCTTTCAGTTGAGCAGTTTGGAAACAGTCTTTGGTAGAAGCTGCAGAGGGAAATTTCTTAGCTGCTTGAGGCCTATGGTGAAAAAGAAATATCTTCACAGAAAAACTAGACAGAAGCTTTCTGAGAAACTTCTTCGTGATGTGTCCATTCATCTCACAGAGTTAAACCTTTCTTTTGATTGAGGAGTTTGGAAAACGTCTTTTCTTAGAATCTGCGAAGGGATATTTGTGAGCCCTTTATGGCCTTTGTTGAAATATGAAATATCTTCACATAAAAAGTAGACAGAGGCTTTCTGACAAATTTCTTGGTGATGTGCACGTTTGTCACACGGAAATTGAACCCTTCTTCTGATTGAGCAGTTTGGAATCAGTCTTTTTGTAGAATCTGTGAATGTGTATTTAGAGAGTTTTAAGGCCTAGGGTGCAAGAGGCAATGTCTTCACATAAAAACGACACAGTGGCTTTTTGAGAAAACTCTTTGTGACATTTCCATTCATCTCTAATAGTTGGCCATTTCCTTACATTGAGCAGTTTGGAAGCAGTCTTTTTCTACAAACTGCAAAGGGATATTTCTGAGCGGTTTGGGGCCAATGGTGAAAAATAAATATCTTCCCATGAAAACTAGACGGAAGCATTTTGAGAAACTTCTTTTTGATGTGTGTATTCATCTCACAGAGTTGAACCTTTCTTTTGATTTAGCAATTTGGAGAAAGTCTCTTGGTAGTATAAGTGGAGTTATATTTGCGAGCGGTTTAAGGCCTATGGTGCCAAAGGAAATACCTTCACATAAAATGTAGACAGAGGATTTCCGAGAAACTTCTTTGTGATGTGTGCTTTCGTCTCACAGAGTTGCGCCTTTCTGTTGATTGACCAGTTTGGGAACATTCTTTTTGTAGAATCTGCAAATGGATATTTGGAGCAATTTGTGGCCTACGGTGAAAAAGGAAATATCTTCACATGAAAACTAGACAGGAGACTCCTGAAAAACTACTTTTTGATGAGTGCATTCGTTTCACATAGTTGAAACATGCCATATGGGCCAGTTTGGAAAGAGTCTTTTTGTAGAGTCTGCAGACAGATATTTTTGAGTGGCTTAAAGACTATGGTGAAAAAGGAAACATCTTCACATAGCAACCAGACAGAAGCAACCTGAGAAACTTCTTTGGGATGTGTTCATTCATCTCCCAATGTTGAACGTTTCTTTTGATTGAGAAGTTTGTAAAGAGAACTTTTGTAGAATCCGCAAAGGGATATATGTGAGCCCCTTGATTCCTATGGCAAAATAGGAATTATCTTGAGATAAAAGCGAGACAGAAGATTTCTGAGAAACTTTTTTGTGATGTGTGCTCTCATCTCACAGAGTTGAAAATTTCTTTTGATTGAGCAGTTTGGAAACAGTCTTTTCGTATCATCTGCAAACGGATGTTTGGAGCGCTTTGTGGCCTAAGGTGAAAATGGAAACATCTTCACATAAAAACTAGACAGAAGAATTCTGAGGAACTTCTTTATGATGTGTGCATTCATCTCAGATGGGTGAAATTTTCTTTTGATGGAGCAGTTTGGAAACAGTCTTTTTCCAGTATCTGCAAAAGGATATTTGTGAGCGGTGTAAGGCCTATGGTGGAAAAGGAAATATCTTCACATAAAAACCAGACAGAAGCCTTCTGAGGAACTTCTTTGTGATGTGTGCGTTCATCTCACCGTGTTGAAACTCTATTTTATTTGAGCAGTTTAGAGACAGTCTTTCTCTGCAATCTGCAAAGGTCTAACTCTGAGCCCTTTGAGGTCTATGGTGAAAAAGAATTGTCTTCACATTTAAACTAGACAGAAGCATTCTGAGGAACTTCTTCGTGATGTCTCCATTCATCTGACAGAGTTCAAGGTTTCTTTTAATTCAGCACTTTGGAAAGCATATTTTTGTAGAATCTGCAAAGGGATATTTTTGAGACATTTGAAGCCTATAGTGAAATAGTAAATATCTTCACATGAAAACTAGACAGGAGAATTCTGAGAAACTTCATTCTGATGTGTGCATTAACCTCACCGAATTTAACCTTTCTTTTGATTGAGAAGTATGGAAATGGTGGTCTTTTAGAATCTGGAAAGGGATATTTCTTAGCCCTTTGAGGCCTATGGTGAGACTGGAAATATCATCGCATGAAAACTAGACCGAAGCTTTCGGAGAAACTTCTTTGAGATGTGTGCTTTCACCTCACAGAGTAAAACACTTTCTTTTGATTGAGCAGTTTGGAAACACTCTTTCTGTGACATCTGTAAATGGATATTAGGAGTGCTTTGAGGCCAATGGTGACAAAGGAAGTATCTTCACATAAAAACTACACAGAAGTTTTCTGAGAAACTACTTGTTGATGTGTCCATTGATGTAACAGAGTTAAAACTTTCTTTTTATTGAGCAGTTTGGATACAGTCTTTTTGTAGAATCTGCAAAAATATTTGTGAGCCCTTTATTGCCTATGGTGAAAGAGGAATCTTCTTCACATGTAAACAAGACAGAAGCATTCTGAGGAACGTCTTCGTGACGTGCGCATTCATCTCACATAGTTGAAACTTTCTTTGGATTGAGCAGTTTTGAAACAGTCCTTTTGTAGGATCTGCAAGGGGATATTTCTGAGCCCATTGAGTACTGTGATGCAATGTGAAGTATCTTCACATAAAAACTAGACAGACGCTTTCTAAGAAACTTCGTTGTGATGTGTGCTTTCGTCTCACAGAATTGAAACTATCCTTTGATTGAGGAGTTTGGAAACACTCTTTTTCTAGTGTCTGCAAATGGATATTTGGAGAGCTTTTGAGGCCCGTGGTGAAAAACGAAATATCTTCACGTAAAAACTAAACAGAAGCTTTCTGAGAAACTCCCTTGCGATGTGTGCATTCACCTCACCGAGTGGAAACTTTCTTTTGATTGAGCAGATTGGAAAGAGGCTTATCGTACAATCTGCAAAGGGAGAATTCTGATCCGTTTGAGGCCTATGGTGAAAGAGAAATATCTTCCCATAAGAACTAGACGGAAGCATTCCAAGAAATTTTTTGTGATGTGTCCATTCACGTCACAGAGTTGAACCTCTCCTTTGATTGGGCAGTTTGGAAACAGTCTTTTTGTAGAACCTGCAGAGGGATATTTGTGAGCCCTTTATGGCCTGTGGTGAAATACGAAGTATCTTCACCTAAAAACTAGACAGAAGGTTTCTGAGAAACTTCTTGGTGATGTGTGCCTTCATCTCACAGTGTTGAACCTTTCTTTTGATTGAGCAGTTTGGAAAGTCTCTCTGTAGAATCTGCAAATGGATATTTGGAGATATTTGAGTCCCGTGCTGAAAAAGGAAGTATCGTCACCTAAAAACCAGACAGAAGATTTCTGAAAAACCTCTTTGTGATGTGTGAATTCATGTCACAGAATTCAACCTTTCTTTCAGTTGAGCAGTTTGGAAACAGCCTTTGGTAGAAGCTGCAGAGGGAAATTTCTTAGCTGCTTGAGGCCTATGGTGAAAAAGAAATATCTTCACAGAAAAACTAGACAGAAGCTTTCTGAGAAACTTCTTCGTGATGTGTCCATTCATCTCACAGAGTTAAACCTTTCTTTTGATTGAGGAGTTTGGAAAACGTCTTTTCTTAGAATCTGCGAAGGGATATTTGTGAGCCCTTTATGGCCTTTGTTGGAATATGAAATATCTTCACATAAAAAGTAGACAGAAAGCTTTCTGACAAATTCCTTGGTGATGTGCACGTTTGTCACACGGAATTGAACCCTTCTTCTGATTGAGCAGTTTGGAATCAATCTTTTTGTAGAATCTGTGAATGTGTATATAGAGAGTTTTAAGGCCTAGGGTGCCAAAGGCAATGTCTTCACATAAAAACGACACAGTAGCTTTTTGAGAAAACTCTTTGTGACATTTCCATTCATCTCTAATAGTTGACCATTTCCTTTCATTGAGCAGTTTGGAAGCAGTCTTTTTCTACAAACTGCAAAGGGATATTTCTGAGCGGTTTGGGGCCAACGGTGAAAAATAAATATCTTCCCATGAAAACTAGACAGAAGCATTTTGAGAAACTTCTTTTTGATGTGTGTATTCATCTCACAGAGTTGAACCTTTCTTTTGATTTAGCAATTTGGAGAAAGTCTCTTGGTAGTATAAGTGGAGTTATATTTGCGAGCGGTTTAAGGCCTATGGTGCCAAAGGAAATACCTTCACATAAAATGCAGACAGAGGCTTTCCGAGAAACTTCTTTGTGATGTGTGCTTTCGTCTCACAGAGTTGCGCCTTTCCTTTGATTGACCAGTTTGGGAACATTCTTTTTGTAGAATCTGCAAATGGATATTTGGAGCAATTTGTGGCCTACGGTGAAAAAGGAAATATCTTCACATAAAAACTAGACAGGAGAATCCTGAGAAACTTCTTTTTGATGAGTGCATTCATTTCACATAGTTGAAACATGCTATATGGGCCAGTTTGGAAACAGTCTTTTGGTAGAGTCTGCAGACAGATATTTTTGAGGGGCTTAAAGACTATGGTGAAAAAGGAAACATCTTCACATAGCAACCAGACAGAAGCAACCTGAGAAACGTCTTTGGAATGTGTTCATTCATCTCACAATGTTGAACGTTTCTTTTGATTGAGAAGTTTGTAAGGAGAACATTTGTAGAATCTGCAAAGGGGTATATGTGAGCCCCTTGATTCCTATGGCAAAATAGGAATTATCTTGAGATAAAAGCGAGACAGAAGATTTCTGAGAAACTTTTTTGTGATGTGTGCTTTCATCTCACAGAGTTGAAAATTAATCTTGATTGAGCAGTTTGGAAACAGTCTTTTCGTATCATCTGCAAACGGATGTTTGGGGCGCTTTGTGGCCTAAGGTGAAAATGGAAACATCTTCACATAAAAACTAGACAGAAGCAATTCTGAGGAACTTCTGTATGATGTGTGCATTCATCTCAGATAGGTGAAATTTTCTTTTGATGGAGCAGTTTGGAAACAGTCTTTTTATAGTATCTGCAGAAGGATATTCGTGAGCGGTGTAAGGCCTATGGTGAAAAAGGAAATATCTTCACATTAAAACCAGACAGAAGCCTTCTGAGGAACTTCTTTGTGATGTGTGCGTTCATCTCGCCGTGTTGAAACTTTATTTTATTTGAGCAGTTTAGAGACAGTCTTTCTCTGCAATCTGCAAAGGTCTAACTCTGAGCCCTTTGAGGTCTATGGTGAAAAAGAAATGTCTTCACATTTAAACTAGACAGATGCATTCTGAGGAACTTCTTCGTGATGTCTCCATTCATCTGACAGAGTTGAAGGTTTCTTTTAATTCAGCACTTTGGAAAGCATATTTTTGTAGAATCTGCAAAGGGATATTTTTGAGACATTTGAAGCCTATAGTGAAATAGTAAATATCTTCACGTGAAAACTAGACAGGAGAATTCTGAGAAACTTCATTCTGATGTGTGCATTAACCTCACAGAATTTAACCTTTCTTTTGATTGAGAAGTATGGAAATGGTGGTCTTTTAGAACCTGGAAAGGGATATTTCTTAGCCCTTTGAGGCCTATGGTGAGACTGGAAATATCATCACATGAAAACTAGACCGAAGCTTTCGGAGAAACTTCTTTGAGATGTGTGCTTTCACCTCACAGAGTTAAACACTTTCTTTTGATTGAGCAGTTTGGAAACACTCTTTCTGTGACATCTGTAAATGGATATTAGGAGTGCTTTGAGGCCAATGGTGACAAAGGAAATATCTTCACATAAAAACTACACAGAAGTTTTCTGAGAAACTACTTGTTGATGTGTCCATTAATGTAACAGAGTTAAAACTTTCTTTTTATTGAGCAGTTTGGATACAGTCTTTTTGGAGAATCTGCAAAAAATATTTGTGAGCCCTTTATTGCCTATGGTGAAATAGGAATCTTCTTCACATGTAAACAAGACAGAAGCATTCTGAGGAACATCTTCGTGACGTGCGCATTCATCTCACATAGTTGAAACTTTCTTTGGATTGAGCAGTTTTGAAACAGTCCTTTTGTAGGATCTGCAAGGGGATATTTCTGAGACCATTGAGTACTGTGATGCAATGTGAAGTATCTTCACATAAAAACTACACAGACGCTTTCTAAGAAACTTCGTTGTGATGTGTGCTTTCGTCTCACAGAATTGAAACTATCCTTTGATTGAGGAGTTTGGAAACACTCTTTTTCTAGAATATGCAAATGGATATTTGGAGAGCTTTTGAGGCCCGTGGTGAAAAACGAAATATCTTCACGTAAAAACTAAACAGAAGCTTTCTGAGAAACTCCCTTGCGTTGTGTGCATTCACCTCACCGAGTGGAAACTTTCTTTTGATTGAGCAGATTGGAAAGAGGCTTATCGTACAATCTGCAAAGGGAGAATTCTGATCCGTTTGAGGCTTATGGTGAAAGAGAAATATCTTCCCATAAAAACTAGACGGAAGCATTCCAAGAAATTTTTTGTGATGTGTCCATTCACGTCACAGAGTTGAACCTCTCCTTTGATTGGGCAGTTTGGAAACAGTCTTTTTGTAGAACCTGCAAAGGGATATTTGTGAGCCCTTTATGGCCTGTGGTGAAATACGAAGTATCTTCACCTAAAAACTAGACAGAAGGTTTCTGAGAAACTTCTTGGTGATGTGTGCCTTCATCTCACAGTGTTGAACCTTTCTTTTGATTGAGCAGTTTGGAAAGTCTTTCTGTAGAATCTGCAAATGGATATTTGGAGATATTTGAGGCCCGTTTTGAAAAAGGAAGTATCTTCACCTAAAAACCAGACAGGAGATTTCTGAAAAACCTCTTTGTGATGTGTGAATTCATGTCACAGAATTCAACCTTTCTTTCACTTGAGCAGTTTGGAAACAGTCTTTGGTAGAAGCTGCAGAGGGAAATTTCTTAGCTGCTTGAGGCCTATGGTGAAAAAGAAATATCTTCACAGAAAAACTAGACAGAAGCTTTCTGAGAAACTTCTTCATGATGTGTCCATTCATCACACAGAGTTAAACCTTTCTTTTGATTGAGGAGTTTGGAAAACGTCTTTTCTTAGAATCTGCGAAGGGATATTTGTGAGCCCTTTATGGCCTTTGTTGAAATATGAAATATCTTCACATAAAAAGTAGACAGAGGCTTTCTGACAAATTTCTTGGTGATGTGCACGTTTGTCACACGGAATTGAACCCTTCTTCTGATTGAGCAGTTTGGAATCAGTCTTTTTGTAGAATCTGTGAATGTGTATTTAGAGAGTTTTAAGGCCTAGGGTGCAAGAGGCAATGTCTTCACATAAAAACGACACAGTAGCTTTTTGAGAAAACTCTTTGCGACATTTCCATTCATCTCTAATAGTTGACCATTTCCTTTCATTGAGCAGTTTGGAAGCAGTCTTTTTCTACAAACTGCAAAGGGATATTTCTGAGCGGTTTTGGGCCATCGGTGAAAAATAAATGTCTTCCCATGAAAACTAGACAGAAGCATTTTGAGAAACTTCTTTTTGATGTGTGTATTCATCTCAAAGAGTTGAACCTTTCTTTTGATTTAGCAATTTGGAGAAAGTCTCTTGGTAGTATAAGTGGAGTTATATTTGCGAGCGGTTTAAGGTCTATGGTGCCAAAGGAAATACCTTCACATAAAATGCAGACAGAGGCTTTCCGAGAAACTTCTTTGTGATGTGTGCTTTCGTCTCACAGAGTTGCGCCTTTCTTTTGATTGACCAGTTTGGGAACATTCTTTTTGTAGAATCTGCAAATGGATATTTGGAGCAATTTGTGGCCTACGGTGAAAAAGGAAATATCTTCACATAAAAACTAGACAGGAGAATCCTGAGAAACTTCTTTTTGATGAGTGCATTCATTTCACATAGTTGAAACATGCTATATGGGCCAGTTTGGAAACAGTCTTTTTGTAGAGTCTGCAGACAGGTATGTTTGAGTGGCTTAAAGACCATGGTGAAAAAGGAAACATCTTCACATAGCAACCAGACAGAAGCAACCTGAGAAACGTCTTTGGGATGTGTTCATTCATCTCACAATGTTGAACGTTTCTTTTGATTGAGAAGTTTGTAAGGAGAACATTTGTAGAATCTGCAAAGGGGTATATGTGAGCCCCTTGATTCCTATGGCAAAATAGGAATTATCTTGAGATAAAAGCGAGACAGAAGATTTCTGAGAAACTTTTTTGTGATGTGTGCTTTCATCTCACAGAGTTGAAAATTTCTTTTGATTGAGCAGTGTGGAAACAGTCTTTTCGTATCATCTGCAAATGGATGTTTGGGGCGCTTTGTGGCCTAATGTGAAAATGGAAACACCTTCACATAAAAACTAGACAGAAGAATTCTGAGGAACTTCTGTATGATGTGTGCATTCATCTCAGATAGGTGAAATTTTCTTTTGATGGAGCAGTTTGGAAACCGTCTTTTTATAGTATCTGCAGAAGGATATTCGTGAGCGGTGTAAGACCTATGGTGAAAAAGGAAATATCTTCACATAAAAACCAGACAGAAGCTTTCTGAGGAACTTCTTTGTGATGTGTACATTCATCTCACCGTGTTGAAACTTTATTTTATTTGAGCAGTTTAGAGACAGTCTTTCTCTGCAATCTGCAAAGGTCTAATTCTGAGCCCTTTGAGGTCTATGGTGAAAAAGAAATATCTTCACATTTAAACTAGACAGAAGCATTCTGAGGAACTTCTTCGTGATGTCTCCATTCATCTGACAGAGTTGAAGGTTTCTTTTAATTCAGCACTTTGGAAAGCATATTTTTGTAGAATCTGCAAAGGGATATTTTTGAGACATTTGAAGCCTATAGTGAAATAGTAAATATCTTCACGTGAAAACTAGACAGGAGAATTCTGAGAAACTTCATTCTGATGTGTGCATTAACCTCACAGAATGTAACCTTTCTTTTGATTGAGAAGTATGGAAATGGTGGTCTTTTAGAATCTGGAAAGGGATATTTCTTAGCCCTTTGAGGCCTATGGTGAGACTGGAAATATCATCACATGAAAACTAGACCGAAGCTTTCGGAGAAACTTCTTTGAGATGTGTGCTTTCACCTCACAGAGTTAAACACTTTCTTTTGATGGAGCAGTTTGGAAACACTCTTTCTGTGACATCTGTAAATGGATATTAGGAGTGCTTTGAGGCCAATGGTGACAAAGGAAGTATCTTCACAGAAAAACTACACAGA